>NC_000011.10:30969090-31120606 GCF_000001405.40 Homo sapiens
ACAAAGAGTTGATATGTTACAGTCTGTGGTAGAATAATGGTCCCTCTAAAGATGCTCACACCCTAATTCCTAAAACATGAATATTACTTTAGAGGCAAAATTAAACTTTGTGGGTATGATTAAGTTCAGGATTTTGAAATAGGTAGATTTCCTGGATTATCTGTGTTTAGGCCCTAAACCTAATCATAAGTGTCCTTAGAAGAGAGAGGCAGAAGGAATTTTGACACTACAAAAGAGGAGAAGGCAATATGATCACAAAAGCAAAGATTAAAGTGATGAGGCCTCAAACCAAGGGATGCTGGCAGCCACCAAAAGCTGAGAGGCAAGGAATGTATTGTTCCCTATAACCTCCAGAGGTAGTATGGCCCCACTGACACTTGATTTTGGCTCAATGATACTGATTTTTAAATTTCTGGCATCTAGAATTATGAAGATAAATTTCTATTGTTTTAAGTCACCAAGTTTGAGGCAGTTTGTTACACCAGCCAAAGGAAACTAATATATAATTTCAAAATAAGTTATAAATTCCAACAGTAATTGCTTCTTTGCTTTGAGGTAAGTTTTGAGTGTAGAAATAGAGAAAATTTTATAATTCATATTTGCATATTCCTCTTTAGCTAGACTTTTTTACTACAGATTTTTTGGAGTTCATTTTCATTCATTTCCTTTTATTTAAAACAAGTTGTAATATTATAATCAAACTACATTTTAAATTTTTATGTCCTAATTTTCTTTAAAACTGGTAATACTTGCATTATGTTTTTCATATTCATCATTTTTAGTAACTGCATAAAAGTTCATAGAAGAGGGACTTGACTAGAGGTATCTGGTATTTGCCTCCTTCACAAAGAAGAACCAAAATAGTGGGCAGATTATCACACTTCTAATAGATCATCTAAGACAGAACACTGGAATTCAACAGAGAAGTAACAGAAAACACCAAAAGCAAGGAAGGAGGGAAATGAGGCAGCCTATTTAGTTAGGATAGAATGGGAATCTGGAGAGGATCCCCAGTGTGGGGAAAGGGTAAGTAAGATATCCCTAGCAATCTACATTTCCACAATAGACTCCTGTAGTTGGAGCCATGGAAAAGTGCCTCAACCCTCGCAGGTCCTGAAACTAACATAGTGAGATGCCTGGAGGCCACACAACAGCATTGCTTCAGAGAGAGAGAGCTCATGCTGGTTCCCCAAGTCCTAAGCAGCTACAGCATGGCACCATTTTGAGGGCCCAGTCCCCACAAGACTACATCCTGCCCTGGGGTCCAACAGCCCCTACATCTACAAATCCATGGAGCTACATTGACATCTCCCACTTGCAGCTACCACTGTGGCTTGCTGCTGCCACCAGGGCTGAAGTGCAAGCTGTAAGTTGTGACCCCACTGCTCCCACCAGCAAAACTATGTACATTTTCAAGCACCCCAAGGACAGACTCTGCCACTGCTGCTGGCAGTTGCCACCAAGGCCAAAGCATGAGCCATTGGCAGTGACTCCACCACCCCCAACAGAGGAACTGTCACACATTTGCTAATGCCCTGAGGACAAGCTACTCCACCTGCAGCCACCATCTGGGGCTAAAGTGTACACTCCCCAGCTGCCTGACTATGGTTTCTGCCAATGACAGCAATCCTGCCCTCCCCAGTAGCAGGGCCACAGCACAGCCACTGATCCTTCCCCCAACTCAACCTTTTCATCAGGGACCTGGGGATTACCCCATATCTGCCTACCACAGCCAGCATCTGCATGCACCATAGGGGACCTGAGGTCAAGTTGGCCCAGCCCAGCTCCTTATCCAGTGCCTAAGCATGCCATCTGGGGGCCTGGAGATTGCCCAGCACAGCACACCACCATTGGCACCTGAGCACTCCTTCCAGAGGCCTGAGGTTGGGCCCACCCAATCTGCCACTATCATCACAGCTGGTGCGCCCACACACACACAAAGTTCCACCTGGTATCCCCATCCCCAGCAAAATTTCACCACAACTAACAACTCCATCCTAATCCACTGAGGAAATCACAGACATTACTGACCCAACCAACACCGTAAATACATCTTCATGAAAAAGTCCTCATCTACAAAAGCTAATTCAAAAAATTGGATGAAGCAACTATTATGCCAGATATGCAGATATCAATAACATAAAGACACACACAAAAAAAAGAACAATCAAGAAAAGATCACATCTCCAAAAGAACAAAAGAACACAATAATTCTCCAGTAAGAGTCTAGTGAAAAATAAATTATGAAATGCCAGAGAAAGAATTCAAAATAATGATACTAAAGAAGCTCAGTGAGATACAAGAAAATACAGATAAACAATACAAAGAAATTAGGAAAATAATTCAAATATAAATGAGAAATTTATTAAAGAGATAGATATCATTACAAAAGAACCAAACAAATCCTAGGAATGAAATAATCCATTGAATGACATAAAAAAATACATTTGAGAGCTTCAACAAGAGTATGTCATGTAGAAGAAAGAATTTCTGAACTTAAAAACAGGCCTTTGTTTTTTTTTTTTTTTTTTTTTTTTGAGACGGAGTCTCACTCTGCCACCCAGGCTGGAGTGCAGTGGCGCGATCTTGGCTCACCGCAAGCTCTGCCTCCCGGGTTCACACCATTCTCCTGCCTCAGCTTCCCAAGTAGCTGGGACTACAGGTGCCCGCCACCACGCCCAGCTAATTTTTTGTATTTTTAGTAGAGACGGGGTTTCACTGTATTAGCCACGATGGTCTCGATCTCCTGACCTTGTGATCGGCCTGCCTCAGCCTCCCAAAGTGCTGGGATTACAGGCATGAGCCACTGCACCTGGCCAAAAACAGGCTTTTTGAAATAACCAATCAAACAAAAATTTTGAAAAGAAAAACAAAGTCTACATTACATATGGCACACCATAAAGTGATCAAATATTTGAATTTCCAGTGTCCCAGGAGGCAAATAGAAAACAAAAAGGATAGAAAACATATTGAATGAAATAATAACTGAAACCTTTCCAAGTCCAGCAAGAGATTTAGACATCCAAGTACAGGAAGCTCAGAGATCCTCAAATAGATGCAATTCAAAAAAGTCTTCTCCATTGCATATTATAGTATAACTGGCAAAGTCAATAACAGAGAAAATTCTAAACACAGCTAGAGAAAAGCATCTAGTCACTTATGAGGAAACCTCTAGCAGACTAACAGCAAGTTTCTTAGTAGAAACATTATAGGAGAGAATGAGATAATATATTCAAAATGCTGAAAGAAAAAAACTGTCACATGTTATATCCAGAAAAGTTACCCTTCATTAATGAAGGAGAAATAAAGTCTTTCTCAGAAAAGCAAAAACTGAGAAAATTTGTTATCACTAGACCAGCCCTACAAAAAATGCTTAAAATCCTACACTTGGAAACAAGAGGATGATATCTACCATCATGAAAACATACAAAAGTATAAAACCCACTGGTAGAGCAAACACATAAATAAGAAAGAGAAAAGACTAAAATGTTACCACTATAGAAAACCACCAAACCACAATGATAAAAATAAAAGATAAAGAAAGAAACAAGGCTATACCAAAAAAGAAAACAAAAAAAGAATTAATAAATTGACAAAAATAAGTCCTCACATCATAACATAACCTTGAATGTAAATAGATTAAACTTTCCATTTAAAAGATACAGACAAGCCAAATGGATTAAAAGAAAATGATCAAACACTATGTGGCTGATATGGTTTGGATCTGTGTCCCCACCCAAATCTCATGTTCAATTATAATCCCCAATGTTGGAGGTTGGTCCTGGTGGGAGGTGACTGAATCATAGGGGTAGTTTCTCATGGTTTAAAATCATCCCCCTGGTGCTGTCCTCTTGTTAAGAGTTCTCACAACATCTGCTTGTTTAAAAGTATGTAGCACCGGCCAGGCGTGGTGGCTTATGACCGTAATCCCAGCACTTTTGGGGGCTGAAGTGGGTGGATAACCTGAGGTCAGGAGTTCGAGACCAGCCTGGGCAACATGGCAAAACCCCATCTCTACTAAAAATACAAAATTTAGCCAGGCGTGATGGTGTGCACTTGTAATCCCATCTACTCATGAAGCTGAGGCAGGAGAATCACTTGAACCGGGGAGGTGGCAGTTAAAGAGTGAGCCAAGATGGCACCACTGCACTCCAACCTGGGTGACAGAGTGAGACTCCATCTCAAAAAAAAAAAAAAAAATGTAGCATCTCCCCCCTCTCTCTCTTCCTCCTGCTCTGGCCATGTGAAGTACTGGCTCCCTATTTGTCTTCCACTATGACTGTAAGTTTCCTGAGGCATCTCCAGAAGCCAAGCAGAAGCTGCCATGTTTCCTTTACAGCCTGTGGAACCATGGACTAATTAAACCTCTTTTCTTTACAGCAATGCGAGAACACATTAATACAGTGGCTTACAAGAAACTCACTTTATCTATAAAGACACATATAGTCTGAAAGTAAAGGAGTCGAAAAACAGATTCCCTGAAAATGAAAACCAAATGTGAGCAGGAGTAGCTACACTTAGATAAAACAGACGTTGGTTTAAAATAATAAAAAGAGACAAAGAAAGTCATTATATAATGATAAAGTGATCAATTCAGTAAGAGGATATAACAATTCTAAACATATATGCACCCAACACGGGTGCATGAACCAAATAATATTAAACATAAAGGGAGAAATAAACTGTAATACAGTAACAGTTGGATACATCAACATCCTACTCTCAACATAGACAGGTCATGTAGATAGAAAATTAAGAAAGAAACATTGGATTTAAACTGCATGTTAGACCAAATGGACTAAACACTTTTACAGGACACTTCATCCAATAGCTACAGAATACTCATTTTTTTCTCATCAGTACATGGAACATTCTCCAGGATAGACCATTTGTTAGGACACAAAACAAGTCCCAACATATTTTAAAAACCTGAAGTCATATCAAGTCTCTTCTCAGACCAAAAAAAAGATAAAACTAGAAGATAATAACAAGAGGAACTTTTGAAACTACAAATACATAGAAATTAAACATTCTCCTGAATGACCATTGGATCAAGGAAGAAATTAAGGAGAAATAAAAAAAGTTATTGAAAAAATGCAAACCAAAACGCAACACACCAAAGCCTGTCGGATACAGTAAAAGCAGTGCTAAGAGGGAAATTTATGGCAATAAACAGCTGCATCAAAAAAAAAAAAAAGAAAGATTTCAAACAATCTAACAAAGCACCTCAAGGGACTACAAAAGCAAGAAAAAAATCCCAAAATTAGTAGAAGGAAAGAAATAATATCAGAGCAGAAATAAATGAAATACACACATAAAGGATAATAAGAAGGATCGACAAAAAGTTGGTTTTTCAAAAAAATGCAATGAACTGTTAGCTAGAATCATCAAGAAAAAAAGAGAGAAGACCCAAATAAACCCAGAAATGAAAATGGAGACATTACAACTAATACCACAGAAAACAAAAGCTCATCAGAGACTATTATGAATAACTATACATTCGCAAACTGGAAAACCTAGAGGGAATGGGTAAATTCCTGGACACATACAACCTACCAAGATTAAATCAGGAAGAAACAGAAGACCTGAACAAACCAATAAGAAGTAATGAGTTTCAATCAGTAACAAAAAGTCTTCCGCAAAGAAAAGTCCAGGACCTGATGGCTTCACTGCCAAATTCTACCAAACTTACAAAGAAGAATTTACCAGCTCTCTTCAAACTATTCTAAACTATTCCCCATAAAAAATAAAGACTATGGAACTCTCTCTAGCTCATTCTATAAGGCCAGTGTTACCTTAATACCAAAACCAGACAAGGATGCAACAACAAAAAGAAAAATACAAGCCAATATCCTTGATGAATTTAGATGTAAAAATTTTCAACAAAATACTAGCAAACTGAATCCAACAGTACATTAAAAAGATAACACACCACAATCACGTGGGATTTATTTCAGGGATTCAAGGATGGTTCAACATGCACAAATCAATAAATTTGATAAAATACATCAAGAGAATGAGGTACAAAAACTGTAAGATTATCTCAATAGACACAGAAAAAGCATTTGATAAAATTTAACATTTCTTCATGATAAAAACTATCAACAAACTAGACACTGAGAGAACATACCTCAACATAATAAAGGCAACATATGACAAACCCACAGCTAACATACTGAATGGGGAAAAGCTAAAAACATTACCTCTAAGAACTGGAGCAAGACAAGGATACCCCACTCTCACCATTCTTATTCAACATAGTACTGGAAGTCCTAGCCAGAGCAATCAGGCAAAAGAAAAAAATAAAAGGCATCCAAATTGGAAAAGAGGATGTCAAACTGTCCCTCTTTGCAGATAATATAATCTTATAGCTATAAAAAAAACACTAAAGATTCCATGAAAACAAACCTCTGAGATAATCAATAAATTTACAGGACACAAAATTAACATACAATAATTGGTAGTATTTCTATATACCAAACGTGAACTAGCTGAGAAAGAAATCGAGGCTCATTTATAATAGCTACAAAGTAATAAAATAAAATACCTAGCAATAGATTTAACCAAAGTGAAAGACTTCTACAAGGAAAACAACAATACACTGATGAAAGAAAATGAAGGGGACACAAACAAATGGAAAGACATTCCATGTTCAGGGATGAGAAGAACTAATATCATTAAAATTACCATACAGCCAAAAGCAATCTACAGATTCAATACAATCCCTATCAAAGTGCCAATGTCATTTTTTACAGAAATAGAAAAAAAATTCTAAAATTCATATGGAAACAAAAAAGACTCCAAATAACCAAAGCAATCCCAAGCAAAAGAACAAAGCTGGAGGCATCATGCTACCTGACTTCAAAATATATTACAAGGCTACAGTGACAAAAATAACATGGAATTGGTATAAAAACAGACAAATGGACCAATGAAGCAGAAAGGAGAACCTAAAAATAAATCCACATATTTACAGCCAACAGATTCTTGACAAAGATGCTAAGAACAAACATTGGTGAAAAGACACCCTATTCAATAATCAGTTTTGGGAAAATTGGATCTCCATATGCAGAAGAATGAAATTAGACAAAAATCAACTCAAGATGAATTGAAAACTTAAACCTAAGACCCGAAACTATAAAACTAGAAGAAAACAAAAAGCACTTCAAAACTTTGTTCTGTCTATGGATATTATGGCTAAAACCCCAAAAGCACAGGTAGCAAAGTCAAAAATACACAAATAGACTATATTAAACTAAAAAGCTTCTGCACAGCAAAGTAAACAATCAACAAAGTAAAAAGAGTATCTGTTGAATGGGAGAAAATATTTGCAAACTATTTGTCTGACAAGGGGCTGATATCCAGAATATACAAGGAACTTAGACAATTCAACAGTAAAAAGACAAATAATTCCATGAAAAAGTGGGCAAAGAATGTGAATAGACTTAAAAAAAAAAAGACATACAGATGGCCAACAGGCATTTGAAAAAATACTCAACATCACTAATCGTCAGAGAAATGCAAATCAAAACTACAATGAGATATCATCTCACCCCAGTTAGAATGGCTATTATTAAAAAGACAAAAAATAACAGATGCTGGCAAGGATGTAGAGAAAAGAAACTCTTATACACTGTTGGTGGGAATGTAAATTAGTACAGCCATTAGGGAAAACAGTATGGAGATTTCTCAAAAAAGCTAAAAATAGAACTACCATACAATCTAGCCATCCCACTACTGGGCATTTATCCAAAGGAAAAGAAATCAGTATATCAAAAGGATACCTACACTCCTGTCTTTATTGCAGCATTATTCACAGTAGCAAGCTATGGAATCAACCTAAGCTTCCATCAGTGGACAAATCGACAAAGAAAATGTGGAGTATATATAAAATGGAATATTATTTAGCCATAAAAAATGAAATCATGTCATTTGCAGCAACATAGATGAAACTAGAGGTCATTATGATAAGTGGAATAAGCCAGGAACAGAAAGACAAATATCACACATTCTCACTCATATGTGAGAGCTAAAAATGTTGATTTCATGAAGGTAGAGAGCAGAATGATACCAGAGACTGGAAAAGGTGTGTGGTTGGGGATTGTGGGGGATGAACAGAGCTTTCTTAATGGATACAAACATATAGTTAGAAGGAATAAGTTCTAATGTTTGATAGCAGAGTAGGGTAACTATAGTTAGCAACAATGTATTGTGCATTTGAAAATAGCTAGAAGAAAGGACTTGAAAAGTTCCCAACACATAGAAACGGTAAATACTCAATGGGACACCCCAAACACTCTGACTTGATCATTACACATTCATGCTTGTAATAAAATCACATGTACTTCATAAATATGTACAAATATTACGTAGCAATAAAAATTAGTTTATACAAAATACCATAGTTTGCTTAACTAAATCCTTATTATTAAATATGTTTCTTCTAGTTTTTAAAATTATATAAAATATTTAATGAATATATTTGTTCATAAAGCATTTTCCTCTTTCAATATGTAGGATTACTACCTTAGGCTAGACATTTAGAAAGGTTATTGCTGGCCAGGCATGGTGGCTCGCACCTGTAATCCCAGCATTTTGGGAGGCCAAGGTGGGCAGATTGCCTGAGCTCAGGTGTTCGAGACCAGCAGGGGCAATATAGTGAAACCCCATCTCTACAAAAAAATACAAAAACCAGCCGGGCATTGTGGCTTGCCTGTATTCCCAGCTACTCGTGGGTGCTGAGGTGGGAGGATGACTTGAGCCCAGGAGGTCAAGGCTGAAATGAGCCAAGATTGTGCCACTGCACTCCACCTTGGGTGACAGACCGAGACCCTGTTTCCTAAAAAAACCAAACAGTAAGAAATGTAATTGCTAAGTCAAAGAATATTAGCACTTAAAGTGATTGATGTATATTGCCATATTGTTCTCTAAAGGAGTGGTGCTAATTAGAATTCTTTTTCTGTACAACAAGTCAGTAGGCCAATACCTACAGATTTGACCATAATGTTTAAAATTACTTAACTCTGACTCGGGAAGTGATAAAAATAGAAAGAAGTTCTCTAAAAGTTATGTGGCTATCCACGCCAATTGTAGGTGACTTACCTATTCTCACACGAATCTGAAGACTTAATGTGACCTCAGACCTGTCTGGATTAGGTGCTTCTGTACATTGGATGGTTTTAACTTGCACCACTTATGTCTTAACCAACAACTGATTAATTTCTGTTCCCCTTACTACACTACAAGTTCTGCAAGGACAGAGATCCTGACCATCTTGCACATGGTTATATCCACAAAGTCTAGCACAATATCTGAAACATAATAAATACATAATAGATAAGAAGATACTGAAGTAAAGTTTCTCTTTTTATTGATATGTAATATTTGTACATCTTTTTTATTGATACATAATATTTGTACATATTTATGGGGTAAATGTGATATTTTGTTCCATGCATAGAATGTGTAATGATCAAGTATGGCATTTAGGATATCCATTACCTCAAGTGTTTATCATTTCTATGTGTTGATAACATTTCAAGTCTTCCTTTTAGCTGTTTTGAAATATACAACACCTTTTTGCTAACGATAGAAACCCTACAGTGCTATAGAACGTTAGAACTTATTCCTTCCATCTAACTCTACAAGTGCCATTAACCAAATTTCTTCATCCTCCCAGTCCCCCCTCAACACACACACACACACACACACACACACACACACACACACACACACACCCCCTTCTCAGCCTCTGGTATCTATCATTCTACTCCCTACCTCCAGGAGATCAACTCTTTTAGCTCCCATATATGGATAAGAATATGCAATGTCTGTCTTTCTGTGCCTGGTTTATATGTACATGTACATGTAGGGACTTGATTATGCCTGTATTTTAAAAGATCAAAAGGAATAATTTACTTTCAAATACAGAGATAGGAATTCTAATTTTAGAGCCTCCAAACTCTGAACTACATAACTGTGCCCATTAACCTCTACTCTCCTATTAATATAAGAAATTTGGAGAGGGAGGGACTTCAAGAAGGCTGACTAGAAGCATCTGGGATTCACTCCTCCACAAAGAATAACTAAAATAGCAAGTACATCATCACACTTCGAATAGATCATCTAAGAGAGAACATGAAACTCAACAAGAAACACTTAAGGCAAGAAAGGAGCAGGAAGTGAGGAAGCCTGCTTGCACTCTGCAAGTTACTGTGGAGGAACACCTATCTCTCAAGGGCCTAAATGCCAAATTACCTTCCAAATTAAATCATAATGAAAGTATTAAAATCAGGTAGGTATTTACTAGTTGCATAAATCTTGCATTTCTGAACAAACCTTTAAATACAGTGAAATACTGAGCCAGTACATGCCCAGGGAATGTCCCATGCATCTTATCTATGTTTTACTTCTCATTACAGTGACCAAGGGTGAGTAGGGAACACTTTCACTTACCAGCCTTCAGGTCTAGATGCTGTTTCTCTTGGATCTGAGAGGAATTATGGTTAATTTTTCACACTTATCATTTCTCAGTGAGGGAAATCAGGTCCAAGACTTGTCCAGCAAGTTAAAGGAAAAGCTTTACAGATGCCTACAGCCATACAAACCACATGGAAAAATAACCCATGTTTAGACATAAAGAGCCTTAAATGCCCAGAAAGTGACCTAGTTTGAACAGTAATTTTAATAGTTCAGTTCAAGTGTGACTGTCATAAAAGAAGTCACCCAATAAATATTCGTTGAGTAAAACTGTTAAAATCAGGATGTGAGATGATCTTCTCTCTGTTCTTTTACAGCAAAATTGGGACATTTTCTCTGAGAGGCAAGAAGCAATAGCAATTTCCCAAAGTTTCTGAGCCTCTCAAAAGGGTCATTTATATTTTCCTCTAACACTGTACTTTATACAAAGAAAACTCTTAATGAACACACATGCAAACAATCCTATATTTGTCACAGCTTGATATTGTGGACATCATAAAATTCAGTGTATAAGAAATGGTATCTATTTCTACTAGGCTGTAATCTACTAGAGTAGACTATAGGACTTTGTCCACTTTGTTTCAGTACATCCCCAGTGCCTAGCACAGCATCTGGCATATAACTCACACCAAATACATTTTGTAAAATGCAGAACAATACTAACTGCAGATCTATGTAGCCATGGCAACTTCCCTGGGCCTCCTGCTTCACTCAGTGGGCAATGAGTCCATGAAACCAAAGGGAGTGCCCATCTGACACCTGTGTGCCTTCTTTTCACTTCTAGACCATTCTCTGAGGCCTCAGACTTCTTTGGCCAAATAGCTCCATACTTGTTTTTAGAGACTGGAATACTAGTATACCAGTAGTATATCATGCTACTAGTGTACAACTCCTAGTACTGAAAGGTAGACAAGAGATAGCTCTGTCAGGCATGAAAGGGCAAATATTGGACATGGGGGATGGTGTGGCTGTGAATTTGGAAGCCCATTGTGGTGTTGGATAGAGTTGTGGCTGTGCAGAAATGGGGGTGGCCCATGGGCTTCCATTTTTGTTTTTTTCTCAACCCTGCAAATTTTAAGAGCAGTCTTATTTAAATAAATAGGTGGATCAATAAATGAATGAAAAGAATGCCTTTGACATAAACAAATAAAATATGCCAGTGAAAGAGAAATTAAGAGGTTTCCCCAGAGATTCTGATAATGATAAACTCTGTAAAACTGGATAGGGGCCTCTCCTAGAAGAACTAAAAATAGAACTACCATTTGACCCAGAAACCCCACTACTGTGCATCTGCCCAAAGGAAGAGAAATCACTATATCAAAAAGACACCTGCACTCATATGTTTATCACAGCACTGTTCACAATAGCAAAGTCATGGAATTAACTTAATTGTCAACAGATGATAATGTGGTATATATACACCACGAATACAACATAGCCATAAAAAAATAAAATTATGTCTTTTGCAGCAACGTGGATGGAGCTGGAGGTCATTAACCTAAGTGAAATAACTAAGAAACAGAAAATCAAATACCACATGTTCTTACTTGTAAGTGGGAGCTAAACAATGGGTACCATGGACCCACAGAGGGAAAGAATAGACACTGGGGACTCCAAAAGCGGAGAGGGTGGAAAGAGAGCGAGGGTTGAAAAATTACCTGTTGGGTACAATGTTCACCATTTGAGTGATGGGCACACTAGAACCCCAAATCTCACCACTATGCAATATATTCATATAACAAACCTGCACATGTACCCCATGAATTAAAATAAATTTTAAAAAGAATACCTACTTCATACAACTGCTATAAAGATTAAACAAATTATTATTTGTAAAGGAATAGAATGGCATCTGGCTCACAGTCAGCACTCTGGAAGGGCTGACTTCCAGAGTTAAATGTGATGTTATTGTTAAATAACATAAACGGTGTGTGATTATTCTTATTATATGCCAATTTATATTTAATCTCAAAAGCAGGCATAGTTTCTAAGTGTTAGTCAATTTAAATTTTAAGGGCTGTTCACCAAACTAACTACAAAGCCAGTAGATTTCAACCATCTCAAAATATTTCTTGTGTGTTGGCACTATTGGTTACTGTAATATTAATTCAATAGGAGTTTAGTAAGTCAGCAGGTGGAAAGGCTGTGTTTTAAATTTGTCTTCCCTAGCTAATAAAGATCTGTTCAACGTTTCAGTCATTTAAAATCTATGCTAAAGTTATAGAATAATAAGAAAGAACCTAATATCCATCTGGGCTGGAATGCTGCATGGATACCACACGCTGGGAACACCAAAGCAGCTGAGGCATAGGAGCCAAAAAGAGCCACCCAGAAGCAAAGATAAAGGGATTGGATAAGCCGTAAAAACAATCATACTACTGTGAAAAAAGGCTTTCAACCATCTTTTAGAGTGAAAATGTAATTGCTTATGCCTATTTTTATTTAAATAAATTTATTTTTTTCCTTGAGATAGCTAACCAAAATTCTTTATTTCAAATGGACATAAATTACATGTCTAAAAACTCATGCATGTTAAAGGTACACTAGAGGCAGCGCAAAGAATTTTTATGTTTCAGGTCTTACAAATAGTTTCTGACACTTGTCCCGCAAATTAGTATTGCTGTTGTTTTTCTTAAAGCACCTCTTGAGAACACGCTTCTCCACAACTTCTTCCAAGGTGAGTTAAAGTTACAAGCTACTGAACAAAAACCTTCCAATTTAACATTACAGCTTCAACGGATCTGTGAATATATTATCAACAGTGTCAGCAGCACAATGAAATTAAGTTAGTATACAGTATCTACCAAAACTTTCATAACATTGCTTCCTTTTTCATACAACTCAGACTGATTTGAAAGATAAGCATTTGTTTCAAAATTAATAGCAACACTCTTTTGTTTCATTTTATGTAGCATTAAAGACCAAAGGAGCCTTAGGAATTAATTGCAGGCTTCTAATAAACACAATGATGTAATGACGTATTTAACATTACTGTGTTTTGTTTGATTCCAAATAAATTGCAGATTTTTTTCTGGTGTGATACTAAAACAATTACCATTTGCAAAAAGGATAATTAATCTGCAATTTTTCACATTAGATCGTATATCTCTAAAGAGTGCCCACAGATTTGATAGTCTTCAGCTGCTGTGTATTTATTTTTCATTTTTTTCTACTGATGCACCGCCCCATCAGTGCTGACATTTAAATGAGTGAGTATTCAACACAAATGTGATCATTTGTACAGCATCCAATGCGGCCCCATACTGAGATGATTGCTTCTGGGAGCCATCCACGGGTTCTCAAATAGGGTGGAAAAGCCAGGCAAAATTTTATCAATTTACATTTTTCTGTGATTAATTTTTATGCAAATAAGGGCCCGACCGTGCTCCCATCTCACCTGAATCATCCGGATCATCAAAGACAAATTGAGCATCACTTATTTTAAAAATAGGCTTTAAACTACTCTACAGCTGTGTTGGAAAATGCTAAGAGTGGGGCATGAACTTCTCTAATATAACAGGAATAGATAAGAAAATGTCTTTTATGTGCATTTTGTACACAATGCCATAAACATGGAACTTAACAAAATAAAAAAAAAGGCTTTGCTTTGAATATTCTCTGGTCCTTGTAAATATTCAACAATGGGAATAACAGTGTATGAAGCAACATTTCCCCAATGAACACATAATCAGAAGTGTTTCCCATTGGGCAAAATACACCAACCATTACATGTCTTTGCTTACTTTTTATTGCTTCTGGATGAAAGTGCCTAATAAATGGAATTATACAGAGGAAACACAATATTGCGAAATGAAAAATCTTTGTGGTTAGGGGTTTATATTGTCAGAATTATGTTGCATAAAATTGACATAGCACTTTTAAGCCCATGCAGTCTAATTCTAAATTCATATAACTTTTACAAAAATAATAGAATTATCTGGTTCACATTTGCGATCCATTAAAATTACATAAATCATATTGGATTTTTTCAAATATCATTATTCAGATTTATGAAATACAAATAAAAGTGTTTTCCATGATATCTGAAATCAAGTTAACAATGCAATTTATATTTTTAAAAAATTGTCATAGCTTACAAATGCCACCTCAGCAGTGACTAAGTTCAATTTGCTATTTTCAAGGAAAGCTATATTTTTTCACATTATATCTTTAAAAAACGTGCTTAGAGTTTTGTGTACATTACTCAGTTATCAAAATCTTCCCAGATGTCTCTCTCCCTCACTCATGAAAATAATCACCAGAGCAGAAATAAATTGTTGACAATTCTCTGAGAATGGAAACAGACCACAGGGGGTAAAAATCTGGTTATCTAAATGGGCGATATAATCGAAGGTTCAGCTAAGCTAAGGGAATTTCAACATAAACAATGCTCTTATTCCCAAGACTGGGTTCTCCTTTATATACAATAGTGGAGGAATGCCAGTCCTTTCCTTACTGCTGTGAGAAAAGTGCTGGACAGGAACAAGATTAGAATCTTAAAAGCTGTCCTGGGGAGCAAAATTACTGTGCATCATACAGGTGAAGAGGTAAAAGGAGCAAAAATAAATGGAGTTTATTCCATGGTTTTTAGAGTTTATTTCACGAAGACAGAAATAAAGATATCTCAATCCATAGTTACTCCATGTGAGATGGCTGTGTGTGTGCGAGCGCAGGTGTGTGTTTGGGCACGTGTGTATACAGAACTGTGTCACTGGGCCTCCTCTCTCCCTCACCAACAAATATGCCACTCAGCACTATATTTCACACACAAGAAATCTTGTCTGTATTCTCACTGCCTCACTTCAAAAACAACCTTGGAAAAACAGGTTTTTCTCTCACAAAAATTCACTGATTTTAGTTTGGTAAGCAACTGATGAGAAATAGGAGAATAACCAGATTCACACAATTCTTGACACAACACACAAGGTCTGTCTAATCTGATCTCAGGGTGAGTCAGTTAGACCAGCCAGCACAGAAGGTCATCTGCTGTGATTGTATCAGAAGCAATTCCTATTGTTCATAACCTGGACATTTCATATCCTCAAACAAAGGTGGGCGTAACGTGACGTTCAATCCCCAAGGATTTGCAAACTCTACCCGTGACTTTAAGAAGCAGCTGTTTAGTTGAAAGCAGGTCAGCTGGTAAGCACAGAGCTGTTTTTTGAAAGTCCAGGATAGTTGCCAGTGTAATGTAAAAACCAGCCTGTCTCTCATAGAAGTAAATTGGCACCTCCCAAATGACAGGGGGAACCGCTTCCACATGTGCTGATACATTTGGAAACAACGGGAGAAGAGACTGGAGAAGGAGAAAACTGGGAATGGCACCTCACTAACTAAGGCAAGAAATACAGTTTTTCCTAAAAGGATGGGAGTCCAGGGCGGTTGGTGAGTTCCCAGGGTCTCAAAGTCCCCACATCTAACCTTGGCCACAATCTTTTCCACAGAGATCAGATGATTCCTTCATTTCTGAACAATTCTTTCCTTGTGAATCATCCCAAGAAAGGAGACACTGACTCCTTAATTTAAATAAAAAGCACAACTTTTCGATTCTGTTTCCCACACTTCAAGTCTTCAGTACAGGAAACAAAATCACAACACTTCTTGGCAATAATTGTGAATCTTAAAAGATTTTAAGGTAAGGAGCTTTAGAAGGGGAGTCAGAAATGAAAAAAGAAAGCTTCAGCATGATTTGACTATCATGTGTGAGCAGGTCCAGGAGAATGCAATCATTTCAGTTTCTGAACTTTAAAATTAAAATGCCTGTAAATTTCAATCCATCAAACAGAATGATTATCTCTCTTTTTATTATAGAACTAATGATAATCATGTTAAAACACTGCAGTATGTTGAAGTATGTGGGTTTCTTTTTTTATGTTTATGGTATGCCTATTTATAAGTTTTTAAAAATTAAGATATAATTCACATAAAGTAAAATGTGCAAATCTTAAATGTATAGTACAATGACATTTTAAAACATGTAGACATCTGAGTAAAAATATGACAGCAAACAGAAGATAGACTATTTTTATCACCTCACTTTACCCTTACTAAAAGTATATGAAATATTAAAAGTAAATGAGATAATAAACTATATGAGTTGCACTGAGGAAGGTGGGGCCCAGATAATCAAGGAATTTGCCACAGGTGAAGAGGCTTAGTTTCAAACACATGATCATCTGATTCCAAAGTCCACATCCTTCCCCCAAGCCACAGTGCTTCTATCAAGAGAGGACCATGAGAACATGGCAATCAACATTTATGGAAATAAATTCCAAAACTAAATTATGACAAATTTTTTTAATGAATAGTAAGACACTTTATGAAACAATATATTAAAATTGACATCCTGATATTCCTAACATTCAAAAAAGTGCCATTTTTTTGAGGGGGACAGAAATTAGTATTAGGCTCAGCAGCGTCTAGCAGAAAACTCACATGATGGTGGATTAAACATGATAGAGGTATGTTTTTCTGTAGTGTATAAATCCAGAGATTGGCAGCCCAAGATTGTTATGACATTTATTTAGTCATCAGAAACCCAAAGCATGTCTTCTTCTTTCTCTACTATTCTTACATCTTTTCCTTCCCTGTGGTTGCTTCATGGTCACAAATAATTGCTGCAGCTCCAGCCATCATGTTCACTCCCCAGACAGCAAGAAAAAAAAAAGGCAATAGTAAAAGATTTCCTGCCTAATACTTTGTTCAGTACCTTTCAAGTAGTTTACCCAAGGATTTTACATAATGACTTCCACATTTTTCTCTCTCTCTTTTTTTTTTTTTTTGAGATGGAGTCTCGCTCTGTCGCCAGGCTGGAGTGCAGTGGCATGACCCTGGCTCACTGTAAGCTCCGCCTCCTGGGTTCAAGTGATTCTCCTGCCTCAGCCTCCCAATTAGCTGGGACTACAGGCACACACCACCATGCCCAGCTAATTTTTGTATTTTTAGTAGAGACGGGGTTTCACCATGTTGGTCAGGATGGTCTCCATCTCGTGACCTTGTGATCCACCCACCTCGGCCTCCCAAAGTGCTGGGATTACAGGTGTGAGCCACCACACCCAGCCAATGACTTCTACTTTTTATATTAAAGCCAAATTATATCTGTACTGGAGACTGGGGTGTTAAGTATTTTGGCTAACCTGTTTCCACCCTTAATAATTAAAAAGAAAGAAAGAATGAAAATTTGTAGACAATCAGTAGTTTCTTTTCCAGAAACAGATAAAAAGCTTACAATTTAAGTACGTAGAGTAACAAATGTAGGAAATTCCAAATATAATAGAGTAAACAGTTCTGCTCATGACGTGAACTCATTGCACTAAACAATACCATCAAAGAGAATGGTATTCTTTCTGAAGTGACCTAGTGAAAATAACTCCTACTGTCCCTAAGAAAAATACAAAAAGAAACCGAAAAAGTAGAATGCCATTAGTTTTTGTTTGTTTGCTTGTTTATTTGTTTTTGTTTGTTTGAGATGGAATCTCAATCTGTTGCCCAGGCTGGAGTGCCGTAGCATAATCTAGGCTCACTGCAACCTCCACCTCCTGGGTTCAGGCGATTCTCCTGCCTCAGCCTCCCAAGTAGCTGGGACTACAGGCATGCATCATCACACCCAGCTAATTTTTGTATTTTTAGTAGAGGCAGGATTTCCCTATGTTGGCCAGGCTGGTCTCGTACTCCTGACCTCAAGTGATCTGCCTGCCTCAGCCTCCCAAAGTGCTGGGATTACAGACGTGAGCCACCGCACCCAGGCTATTTCTTTGTTTTTAAGGGAGAGAAAACCACAAATGAAACTGAGCCATTTGATAAACATTTCTTAATTATCTACAATGCCAGAAACTGTTCTGGGCACTTGGGATACAGACATGAACAAGACAAACATTTTTACTGTTATCATGGAGCTTATAATTAATAAACAAATAAAGAATATCTCAAAATAGCATCATCCAGAGTTAAAATAAGTCAACATGATAGAGATGGACTGTATGGCTAATTTTTATGGAGTCATCAGGAAAAACCTCTCTTATAGGGCTATATTTAAGCTGAGATTTGAATGACAAGAAAAAATGAGCCATATGAAGCTCATTTTAAGTATTTGGGGCCAGAGGAACAGCTGGTGGAAAGGCTCTAGATCAAGCTTGTCCAACCCATGGCCCATTGGCCACATGTAGCCTAGGATGCCTTTGAATGTGACCCAACACAAATTTGTAAACTTTCTTAAAACATTATAAGTTTTTTTGCATTTTTTTTTCTCATCAGCTATCAGCTATCATTAGTGTTAGTGTATTTTATGTGTGGCTCAAGACAATTCTTCTTCCTCCAGTGCAGCCCAGGGAAGCCAAAAAATTGGATGCCCCTGCTGTAGATAGAGAAAGGCTTAGTATGTTCTAGAAGCAGAAAGAAAGCTGGGAGGCTGGAGCAGTGTGGGGTGAGGGAAGCAGTTAGATACAGGAGATTAGGTCACAGAGGTGGGCAGAAGCCAGACTGTGGAGTGTTTTGCAAGCCAAGATAAGAAGTTCAGATTCTATTCTAAACATAATGAAGAGTACTAAGCAGGAGAGTGAAATTATCTGGTTTTCATTTAAAAATAATGACTCTGGCTGCTAGATGGAGAATAAATAGTAGAGAGCAAAAGTAGAAGCAGAAAGAGCAGTTAGGAACCAAATGCTGTAGAATGGATGATGGTGCCTGAGAGTACAGTTTAGTGAAAATCAAAATAAATGGACAAACTCAAGATGTAGGCATGGAAATAAATGAACAGATTCATCCATTGAACTTGGGGATAGAATAGGTATTGGGATGGGGCTAGTGAAGGAAAAAGAAAAGAGGGAAAATTCCCAGCTATTCAGCTTGAAAAAAAATGGGATGATGATGATGATAACTGGAGTAAGGAGTAAGTTTGGGAAAGGAAAATAAGCACTCTATTTGGTCACCTCTGTGACCTAATCTCCTAATCTGTATCTAACTGCTTCCCTCACCCCACTCTTCTCCAGCCTCCCAGCTTTCTTTCTGCTTCTAGAACATACTAAGCCTTTCTCTATCTACAGCAGGGGCATCCAATTTTTTGGCTCCCCTGGGCTGCATTGGAGGAAGAAGAATTGTCTTGAGCCACACATAAAATACACTAACACTAATGATAGCTGATAACTGATGAGAAAAAAAACGCAAAAAAATCTTATAATGTTTTAAGAAAGTTTACAAATTTGTGTTGGGTCACATTCAAAGGCATCGTAGGCTACATGTGGCCCATGGGCCATGGGTTGGACAAGCTTGATCTAGAGCCTTTCCACCAGCTGTTCCTCTGGCCCCAAATACTTCAAATGAGCTTCATATGGCTTCATATGGTTAGAAATTCCAGTAACACCTCCAGATGAAAGTGGCTGGCATGAAAATGGATCTATGAATCTGCAGAGGTTGAAACTGGAGCTACAGATTTGGGAATCACTGATATTTCTATGGCATTCCAATTCATGGGAGTAGATGAGATCATCCAGGAAGTGGAGAGGTAATATAGAAGTCAGAGAACACAGCCCTGGCATACGTGACATTTAGAGTTAGGACAAAATAAGAGGGGGGGCAGTAAAAGAGATTGAAAAGGAGTGTTCAGTGATGGAGAGAAATCAAGAGAAGAAAGTGTTTCACAAGTAGGAAGTAGTTAAATGAGGGGAATGCTTTGTAAGATCAAATAATATCAGAACAGAGAAACGACTTTTGTAAAGCCTGTTTACATAGTACAGAGGGAGAAGATATTTTTCAATATTTCATTTAATGTGAGTGAAACCATGTTCCAAAATCAAGATCATTTATATTCCTGAAGAACAAGACAATCCAAACAAACACAGACTGCTCTACTGACTCCCAGGTTGAATCTGAGAGCCCTATCATGGTCCTTGGGAATTTGGAAAAATAAAAACAAATCTGAGAATCTGTAGTCCTCTTTATCCTCACTCTCTAACACACAGAAATGCAACCATATTGCATCAAAATACAGACATTTAAAGTACATTTAACTAGGCTTTTTCTCTCTTCTGTGCTTTACACATTAGAAACCAGCATATTTGTGCTTTCTAAGATGGAGCACTACCAGGCAGAGTGAATTATTTCTGCTCAAATCCATTCAATAATGTATTTATAGAGTCGGAGAAAGCATCCTCTTTAAATAATATATAATATTGTGCATTCAAGATATTTCTCATACCTTTACCTAGGAAGCCATTTTTTAAAAGATGAATGCTGTGGGATGCCAAAAATAAAACCAATTTGTGGTTGTTCTTGTAAAAAGTTGAACTAGAAACCTCTCAGGCTACCAAAAGTTGCTGTGAATGACAGGAAGAGACAATCCAGGGAAGACTCGTGTCTTAATTTGGAGAGGTGAGCGGTGACTGGTCATGTGTGCAGGTGTGTGTGCATACGTGAGCCCAAAACACTTAGACTGGAAAGGTGAAGGATGGTGTATCTCTACTCGAGTCAGCCCCAAAACCTGCCAAGAAAGAAACCCTAAGATGGGAAGAAGACGCTTTTTCAAGAGACATTGTGAAAACAAAAGGCACAATCAGAGCTGCCTCAGAATCTAAGTGACAAAAGCAGCACAGAGTTGGGGTGTCAACTACAGTGGAACATATATATATATATGCAGTTGAGTTTGTGCATGCAAGGTAAAATGCATTTGGTACCTTAAGAGAGATACAAAAACATTCTTCTTATTCCTGTAAGATCTCATTTGAAGATATGCTCTCCCAGGAGCATAACCCAGAATCATCACTGTGGGGACTGAACAAAGCACGACACCTTATTGCATCTTGAGACATTTGTAGTGTTAGGGATGCACCGGAAGATGCTCCTAGGAGCAGCAAACCCATGTTGTTATGGAGGCACCCACAGGACAGGTAAGAACTTTCTTTATGAGTCGTGGGCTCTCAGCAAGGAAGCCACAGCCAAAAAATATAAGAGACAAGATGTGAAACACTGGAGACACTCAGAAATAACCAGGGAGACATAGGAAAGGTGATCTACAAGAGTGAAGGTGCTGCAGCTGTGCAGATGAAGCAATTAGGAAATGCAGCTATTTGTTAGGTGACCTTATTTTTACCTCGGGTAGTAAGGTCTGAAGACATTTAGTTTACACTAATAACAAAGCACGTGTGTTTTATAATACAATTCTATGTTTGTTTTTTTCTGATTAACTGTACTAGGCTATTTACACAGTGGAATTGTAGTTAAAGTTATTTAGTAAAGACGTGACATGAATAGACAGTTTCACTGACGCTAATCACGCAAGTGCAGTGAAGCACATTTATGTTCCAGTAAGTAACATGGGTGAGAACTTCCCATTCTTGTGACATTTTCCAGGCCAGTAGCCTTGAAATTATGCAATTCCAAAATAATTTTGGGGTGGGAAGCTTCCTGGTATCATACAGTCACATTTAAGTGAGAGTTACGAGGAAAAGCTGATGTGAGAAAGCTGTAATATTGCTGGCATAAAAATAGGTGCTGCCAGAGAGTGAGGCAACTGACAAACGGGTTTGCCAAGGGAGGGCTAAGGGACATCCCTGGTAACCATGAGGAGGCTGGCTTGAAACAGCAGGTGTTCAGCTGTAATGAGAACCCAAGACCTCAAGAGCAGACAGGAGAGAAGGCTATGAGAGCCTGCCTTAAGGAGGAGAGAGGCAGCATAGCTGGGAGTGAGTGTGACTCCAGAAATAGACTGTAATACTAGGTATACATTTATCAAAACATCAGAGTGTACACCTTAACCATATACCATAATAATAAATAAAAAGACAGAGACAAAGGGGTCCCATGCAAGGTCACCAGGCTTAGTTGGGTATTCCCAATCAGCAAAATGCCATGATTCTAATTGCCTAATTCTAAAAACTGAATTGTATTGGTGCTGAAAATTAGTAAGGCTCTTAAGTAACATAAAAGAAAACTCAGTGGCAACTGGATCGGACAGCTCAAATTGGGAAACTTTAAACTAGATGTTTATTTAGGGCATGCCATGCACCACCGACGTCACTAGGTTCTGTGGTTACTCTAAACGTAACTACACCAGGTGTACAAGCCTGCACATTTGATCTCTGCTGTCTCTTCCCTAATTTCTCTTGTCTTCTCCAGCTTGAAAAAATATATATACTTCTGGAATTATTCAGTAGGCATAACACCAAAATAAGTTTATTTATGAAAGATTTTACCAATAAACATACAAGTAAATTTTTTTAAGTAACATGGGTAGCAAATTGCATTCCTTCAGATAAACACTGGGAACATATAAGACAAAGAGAAAACAGCTTTCATAATATTTTTGGGAAAAGAATTTAAATGTACTGAAAATGAAGGATCAAAGTAAAACAAGGAGAAAGAATATCATATACTTCACCCACATATGTAATATTCATTCAACAAGCAGTGCTTGAGGCCTAGTATGTGCCATGCACTTCTGTGTTGTTGAGAAACCAAAAATGAAAATGGTACGCTCCCTGTCTTTCTAAGAGCAAATGTTACACAAATAAAGTACAATGTAAAATGCACTGTCTTAAGGTACCTTAAGAAAAACATAAATAAAATCATACTTCTTCCCATAAGGTCTCATTTGAGTGTATGTTAACTATAAATTGCTAACAAGTCATTTTAAAAGAAATGCTGTATTTTTCTCTTAACAGAAATGTATCAACATGTTAAACTACAGGTCTGAATCCTACTTTCCAAATAACAAGATCCTGAAATGGTGACCATGTAGCTGAGGGTTAACCCCTTGCAGTGAACAAATAATGACTGACAAACCAAGACAGGCTACTTAACAGGGTAAGCTCCCTGCGGCTGAATGAAAGATCTGACTTCCAAGGAGTTATTTAAACCCAGACCCAGTGAGGCAGTCCTGCCAAAGATAGATACCAACCTGACTTTTCATATTCAAGCTTTCCAGGCCAGGACTCCAAGCTAGGCTGCAGCAAGTTCTCAGAAAGAAATTGCCTTCCAAGTATTACCCCGTTATAGCTGGTGCCCCCACAACCTGGCTTTCTCCCATCACCATGGTGATTTGCTGAGTCATATCCTCAGCAGGTCTCAGAAGGTATACTGTAAAGATACATGGAGAGGCCATGATGGTACTGAGAGACACAAAGCTAAAGGAATAGTTAAATTTTCAACCACTATGTAAACTGAAGAAACAAAGTCCAAAGTCTAGACATCTGGTATAAGCTATTTGTAAGACAATGTGTAGTATTTCAGGAAAAGTTACTACTTCCTGACTGTCAATATTAGTCTTGATATTAAAAAATCTAAAATAAAAGTAGAGGAAATTTGTTTTTGTGTGTTATATTCTATGAAGAAGGTGGGTACTGAAGTCGATCCAACAAGTATATTGTACAGCTTGTGGTAAACTCAATGCACTTTGCATATTTCATAAGAGATTTGAGACCAACCAAGTTAATTTTGATTTTCAATCATAAATTAGGCTTAACTTTCCTAAATTTTAATATTTACTTAATTTAAAAAAGTAAAATGGCACTCCACATGAAAAAAAATTATATAAAAATTACTTTTCTAGCATATAGCAAATGTTGAAAACTTATGTTAAATCCTACTTCTTCAAAATACTATGTGTAATTTACTTCTAAATAACCCCTGGATCAAAGAGGAAGTGTCAAAATTTTTAAATATTCTGAAATAAAATACTTTTAATTTAAGTTAATGTAGCTTTTTATAAGCTAACTAAATGAAAGTGAAAATACAACATCAAAATTCAGAGATTGCCCGTGTTATAGCACTACTTTGAAGGAAATTAACAGCATTAAATTTTATATTACTAAAGAATAAAGATGTAAAATCTGTAATCTAAGCTTCTGCCTTAAGAAACTAGAGAAAGAGAAGCAAATTAAGCATCAAGCAAGCAAAAAGAAAGAAATAATAAAGGTTAGAGCATAGGTCAATGAAATTGAAAACCAATGAACAACAGAGAAAATCAATGAATGAAAAACTATTTCTAAAATTGATAAACCTCTAGCTAGACTGACATAGAGAAAAACAAGACAATAATAACTGATATCAGAAATGAAAAACAAGACATCACTAGATCAATCGCATACACAGTGAAAGTATAATAAGTGAATACTACCAACAACTCTATGCCCATATATATGACAAATTAAAATATAACAACTATTTGAAAGACAAGAACTACAAATCTCTTTCCAAGAAGAAATATGTAGTTTTAATAGGTGTATTCAAGACGTTACATTTGTAGTCAAAATTTTTCCAGAACAGAAAAGTACAGGCTCAAAGAAGTGTATTGTCAAGTTCTACCAAACAGTTAATAAAGAATAATACCAATGCTATATAGTTTATACCAGAACATAGAAGAGGAGAGAAAACTTCCCAACTCATTTTACGAGCCAGCATTATCCCAATATTAAACCCAGCTAAAGCTCTATCAAGAATAGAAAACTACAGATCAATATTCCTCATGGACATAGATACAAAAAGCTTCAGCAAAATATTACCAAATTAGATCCAGCAATATAAAAAAGGAATGAAACATCATACGACCAAGTGAGATTCATTATAACAATGCAAGATTGTTCAATATTTGAAAATCAATTAATGTAACATACCATACTTACCATAGACTAAATAGGAAAATCATGTAATGATCTCAATAGATGCAGAAAAATTATCCAACAAAATTCTAAATGCATTCGTAATAAAAATTTACAGCAAACCAGGAATAGAATGAAACTTTTTTACCCATTTTTTTCTTTCCGGAGACTCACTCAGTAACCCAGTGCAGTGGCACAATCTCCACTCACTGCAACCTCTGCCTCCCAGGTTCAAGTATTTCTCATGCCTCAGCCTCCCAAGTAGTTGAAACTACAGGTACCCACGACCATGCCAGGCTAACTTTTGTATTTTTAGCAGAGATGGAGTTTCACCATGTTGCCCAGGCTGGTCTTGATCTCCTGACCTCAAGTTATATATATATATATGTATATGTATATATGCCCTTTGTAAGGGTAAAAACGTCTAGGTGGGGTGGCTCACACCTGTAATTTATCTATATATATAAATTATTTATATATTTATTATAATATATAACATATTATTATATAATATATAATATATAACATATTATTGTTATAATATATAACATATAGTATATGTTATAATATATTATATATTTATTTAATAAATATATAATATATTTGTTTATTATAATATTTATTATAATAAATATATATGTATACCCTACAGCTGACATCATACTCAATGGTGAGAGACTGAATGTTTCCCCCTAAAATCAAGAGTAAGACAAAGATTTCATTTCTTACTACTGCTATTAATCATGGTCCCAGAAATCCTTGGCAATACACTAAGGGGAGGAATAAAAAGAAGAAATGAAAGGCATACAGGCTGGGAAGAAAGAAATATAAGAGTCCTGATTCACAGACAATATGATTATCTTTAAAAAAAAGTGCAATAAAAATCCTAGAGTTAGTAAGAAGGTTTAACAAGGTTGTGAGCTACAAGATCAATGTATTTCTATATACCCGCAATGAAAGAAATAAAATTTGAAACTAAATCTCAAAACATCACATTTACATTTACACAAAATATTAAGATAAAGCACTTAGGTATAAGTCTTTTTAAAATGTGTGCAGTATCTACGTGGTAAAAACTACAAACACTGATTTAAAAATCAAAGATCTAAATAAATAAATACACCATATTCATGAACTGGAAAACTTAATATCATTAAGATATTAATGACAATTATTTCCAATTTGATCTATAGATTCAATGTAATTCCAATAAAAATCCCAGCAAACTCTTTTGTAGATTTCGACAAGCTGGTTCTAAAAGTTATATGGAGGGTCAAAAGCAATTAGAATTGCCAAGTAATTCTGAAAAAGAACAATGGTAGAAGACTCACACTACCCAATTCCAGGTCTTGCTATGGAGTTACATGATCAACGTAGTGTGGTATTAGTGCAAGGATAGAAATAAAAATCAATGGAGCAAAAGAGAGAGCCCAGAAATAGGCCCACAGAAACATAGTCAACTGACTTTTGACATAGGTAGAAAAGCAACTAATTGAGAAAGAATTGTCTTTCAGCAAATAGTGCTGAACCAAGTGGATGTCTCTATGAAGCAAAACAAAAAATAAGACAAAAACCAAAAAGAACCTTGATAAATACCTCATACCTTATACAAAAAAAGTAAACCAAAATGGATCACAGACTTAATGGCAAAATATAAAACTCTTAAAACATCTAGAAAATAATAGGAGTTTGGCCATGAGATTTTAGATACATCCCCAAAGGCACAATCAGCACGATCATCCATAAAGAAACAAAATTTAAATTAGACGTTATCAAAATTAAAAACGTTTGCTCTGTGTAAGCACTTAAGAAAATGAAAGAGAAGACACAGACTAGGAAAAAATATTTGTAAATCATGTATCTGATAAATGACTTGTCTCCACTATGTATAATGAACTCTAAAATTCAGCAATAAGAAACAACCCAATTTTAAAAAGGGCAAATGATCTGAACAGACCCATCACCGAAAGAAGATAGACAGATGGCACAAAGCACAGGAAAAGAGGTATAACATCATTAGTCATTAGTAAATTGAAAATTAAAACCATAATGAACGATCACCACACATCTATTAGAATGGCAAAGAGAAAGCAAAATGAAACAAAAACAAACCCCAAACCCTGCTGATACCAAGGGCTATAGAGGATGCAGAGCAACAGGAGCTTTCATTCATTTTTGATGAGAATATAAAATGGTACAGCCACATCAGAAACAGCTTGGTACATATTTATAAAGTCAAACACACACAATATGCTATGGTTTGGATGTTTTTGGCCCTTCAAAAATCATATTGAGACTTAATCCCCAGTGCAAGAGTATTGGGAAGTGTGACCTTTGGTAGGTGATGCAGTTATGAATGCTCTGCACTCATGAATGGAATTAGATGCTCTTATAAAAGGGCGTGACAAAGGGAGTTCATCCCTTTTGCCCTTTCTGTATTCTGCCTTGCGGGGACACAACATTCCTTCCCTATGTGGGATGCAGCACCAAGGCACAGTCTTGGAAGAAAAGAGCAGCCTTCACTTGACAACCAAACATGCTGGTGCCTTGATCTTGGACTTCCCTGCCTCTGAAGCTGTGAGAAAATAAATTTCTGTTCTTTAAGAATTACTCAGTCTCAGGTATTTTGTTAGAGCTTCACAAAATGAACTAAGACACACATGGTCCAGCAATCACACTGCTAGGTATTTTCTCACATGAACAGAAAATTTTGTTCGCATAAAAACGTACATGAACATGTATAGCAGCGTTCATCATCACCAAATATTGAAAACAACTAAGATGCCTTTCAACAGTTGAACACATAAATTTTGATATATCCATATAGTGGAATGCTATTTAACAATATAAAGGAATGAGCTGTTGCACACAGCAATATACATGAATCTTAAATGCATTAGCTATTTGAGAAAAAAAGCCAGGCCTAAAAGGCTATGTATTTTATGATTCCATTTTGAATGACATTATGTAAAAGGAAAAGCTGTAGGGACAGAAAGTGATAAGTAGTTGCCAGAGACAGGGGTAGAGGATAGAGATTGATTACAAAGGCAACATGCAAGGAAATATTTCAGGGTAATCAAACTGTTCTTTATGATACTGGAGTGGTAAATACATGACTATGCATTTGTCAAAACTCATAGAACTGTATGCTGAAGAGTGGCTTTTACTGTCTGCAAAGTAAAACAAAACAAAACAAAATCAGGATTTGGGGGAATCAAAATGAAATACAGCTTTTGACAAATCAATCTAAGTGTACAATAAATATACAACATAACCTCACTGAAGGGGTAAGGAAGAAAAGCGCTAATCTAGTAACTGGAAAACAAGTATTTTGTCTAGATATTGAAAGGCCATACCTAGATAAAAAGACAAAGACAAAAAGAATTGTATATAAGTATTGTATGCCAGCTGTTAAATTTGTTTCTCCTAGTAGTACAGTTTGGTTATTCTGACACTCTTTTTTATATTTATACTAAAATTGAACAAAAAAGGGATACAGATGATAGGAGCCTGGCTTCTCGCTATCAGAGAAAAAAGTTACAAATGACCTTACCAATAACCAAGACAGGAATGTTAGAATGAACCCATGGTGCTGGATTACAATCAAACATATCAGAATAAACTCATGTTTATTTTACCATACCATAGTGTGTATGTGTGTGTGTGTGTGTGTGTGTACACACACTAGCATCCAGACCTTGGTTTCTAAATAGCCTTCTCCCCATCTCCAATAAGGAGATTAAGACTTCTGAACAAAATAGCTGATTCTATATTGCAGCAAGGAACCACAAGATGAACTTTGATTGTGTTGTAGTGTCACAAAGTAAGAGAGAGTTTAAAAAGAAAGGGGGTGGGGGCAGGCACAGTGGCTCATGTCTGTAATGCCAGCACTTTGGAAGGTCGAGGCAGGAGGATTGCTTGACCCCAGGAGGTCGAGACCAGTCTGGGCAACATAGTGAGACCCCCACCTCTACAAAAAATAAAAAAATTAGTCCAGTGTTGCATGCAACTGTAGTCCTAGCTACTCAGGGGGCTGAGATGGGAGAATCACTTGAGCCCAGGAATTCAAAGCTGCAGTGAGCCATGATTGTGCCACTGCACTCCAGCCTGGGCAATAGAATGAAACCTGGACTCAAAATAAAATAAAAATTAAAAAGTGGGGAGGGGGGAGGAAGTATGGTGCCTGTTGAAAAGACACAGCAGGAACCAACATGAAGAAGTTTCCAATGGCTAATGCTGAAACAATCTGAGCAAAAATAAATAATGATAGTATTAAATTGTCACCCAAAGAATAAAGTAAATATCCATCAGTCCATATAAACAATAAGTTTAATAAATAAGTAAATGAGGAAGAATGAAAGAATGGATATATTTTCCTTGCAAAAGAATTCCAATTAGTAAATGTTTTAAAAATGACAGAAATAACAAATCACCATTAGAACATCATAGCTATAAATGCTACAGACAAAACGCATTAATGAATGCTAAATTAGTGGGCAGAACTTTTGGGAGAAATTGGATATTTGCTCAAACTTATGGTATCTCCCCTCAAATATTTATTAATTATTGTGATGTCCAAACTATGTCCACAAATTTTTTAATGGTCCTCCCTCTAGGAGGTAAGAGCTTAATTCCTCCCTCCCTGAGTGTGGGCTGAACTATTTGCTTCTAGCAAATAGAGTACAGAAGGAAAAAACAGTTACTTGACAGTGGAGAAATCTGGCAGACACCATCTTAACCAAGTGATCAAGGTTAACATCACCAGGAATATGTAATATTGATATCATGCACCCCCTGATATAATGCAATAAAAAGAGAATATTACTTCTGTGGTATTTTCCTCCAAAATCAATAATTTCAGTCTAATTTTATAAATTCTTTCCAAATCCCAATTCAGGAACATTCTAAAAAATATCTGGCCACTATTCAGAAGGGTCAAGGCTATGAAAAATGAGGACATTTTGGGAAACTGTCATAGATTAGAGGAGACTAACGAGACACAACTACTGAAGGCAGTGTGGTATCCTGGATTAAACCTGGGAAAAGAAAAGGTAACATCAGTGGAAAAACTGATGAAACCTTATAAGTCTTTAGTTTGGTTAATACTATTGTACCAACTCTGATTTATTAGTTCTGATAAATGTATCATGGTTATGTAAGATGTTGGTTATGTAAGATGTTAGCTTTAGAGGAAATTGAGTGAAAGAGCTGTAGGAACTCTCTATACTACCTTTACAATTCTTCTGTAAATCAAAAATTATTTCAAAATGAAAAAATAGTAAAAGCCTTATGTCGAATCTAATTTCCTTATGTATTCTACTTAAAAATTATTATGCTTTTGTTTTCCAAGAATTTTCAATAAATTTAAGATTCTTGACTATTATAAAAGTGGCAACATGTGAACGTAATGCCAGCCTGGAAATCTGAAACCTTTGGTCCAAATTCCAGCTTCACCAAAAAGCATGATCCCCAGGAACTTAGGGATTCTTTGGATTCAGTTTTCTAATCATCAAAATAAGGAGTTTGGACAATGCGACTCTTACACATCACTTCCATCTTAAAAAGGGTGGGGGGAGTGAGAAAGGGGAGAGCTTATATTTTTAAGAAAATATAAACCTCAAAATATTTTTAATGTAAAATATATACCAAAAATACAAACGTCAAATAAAATAAAATATTTGTTGGCAATCTTAGGAGCACACTGGAGACCATCTCACAGCATTGGTAAGGGAGATCAAATTGCAAAGAGAACTGAGACTTGTGACTTGACTCGTTCTCCCCTTTAAGAATGAAGTCAACTATCTCCTTTAGTCACCAACCAGAAAGAAAAGGTCGGTCAAAGCCAGTGGCTTCAGGTAAGAGGAACCATCTGTGCTGGCTGTGGAGGAGCAGTCGGGTCCATTGTCAGTTGCAAGGGAAACACCAAGGGATTACTGCAGGAAGAAGCATATTAGGGCATCTAAAAAATCATCTGGTTAAGAGTAATGAATCTTCCTTCAGACAAACATTGAATTGCTTAATTCTAACTTTTAGGTTAAATTATAAATCCATTCATTCAAGCGTCACAATGCCCTATATCAAATGAATACCAAAAATATCCAGGAAAGAATTCAGTATAATTGTCTTCAACACTGTTTGCAATCTTTATTATAATATTTAGTCTCCTCTTCTCATTTAAGCAATTATCAGGGCTGCTATGACTCCACAATACGGTCTTAGAGGAGGAGGATTCTTTGCCTTCTACTTCTTGAAAGCAAGCTTATTAAGAATGACATAGAAAGAATTGCAAGCCTTCATTTTCTAAATTTCAGAGCCCTTTTCTGTAAAGTTAAAGGGTACTATAAAATGTGTCAGGGAGCTACACATGCAGATACTCACATTCCACTTAGAAATCCTTATGGATTGCAAGTCTCTAAGTGAGTCTCTGTGAAAGGCAAATATTCAGGATGTCACTCTTCCCAAGAGAGAGGGTTTTGATTGCAGAACATGCTACATTAATGAAGCTTTGTTGGCAGCTGGTGAGTCAAGCTTCTGGGTAGCATAATGCATTGTTTTTTTTCTAATACTATGTTTAAAAAAAAAAGCATGTCCAGGACTGAGCCATGTTCCAATTACTTAGGAAGAAAACCAAGAGTATGTAAATTTTACTTTTTTGCTACTTATTTATTTTTGATATAATTTCAAACTTTCAGAAAAGTTAGAAAAAGAAAAAAAAGTCCCATATACCCTTCACCCAGATTCAATCACATATAATTATATATACATGTATATACAAATTTGTAAAGAGATAACTTGAGACTGTATATATGCTGATCCTTAGCAAATTTTCATCAGTTAGTATTAACATCCATTGATGGTTCTTGCTTGAGTCAATTATTACCATAACAGCTGTGAAATTATGATTTTTCTAACTAATTCATTCAACATCTATTAGTTGGCATTAGTTGGAATTCCACCATAAGAAAGAGCTCCTCTTGTTCATCTTTTATTTATTCAGTCATTTATTTGTGTCAGTATTGACTCATGGATTCTTATTTTGTTCAATGAACTATAATTCATTATTATCATTATTTTTTCAATGCTAAAATTGTCAAGTAAAGGCATTTTGAAAGGCTTATAAACCATATTAAGTGGATTTTCCAAAGTTATTTTGCCATGAAAGCAAATGGTCACTTTACCTTCAAAACATTTTGAGACAAAAAAAAAATAATATGTCCTTCCATTTGAACAGAAACACTAAGAAATCTTTTGCCTGCTTAGAAACTCCTGTCTAGACACATTACTCTTTCACAGGACAAAAATCTCTGTTTTGCTCCCTATCCAGGGCTGCAGTTAATTACATGAAGAGACAGATGCTGAGCAGCCTTAAGGCTTTCTCTGCCACCGCAGCGAGGCTGAGCTCCACTCAACAAGCAGGTAGTGAGTGAAGACAAATGCTGTTTGACAAGGCAGCATATACTACACACTGGCTTAGAAAACAGACAAACCACTCTGTGTTCCCAAGCAAAGACAGAGGAATATCAAGCAGATCTTTTCTGACAGAAATCATATCACAGCCGCACTTCCAGACAAAGTCTGTGTGAATGAAATGATACACTTTCTGTTTCCTATCTTCCCCTTTAAAAGAAAGTGAGTATATCAAAGGTACATTGAAGGTGACAGCTCAGTGTAAGGTGGTTAGCAAGATTTATAAGCTTGGTTTCCCTTTGGAGATATTAAAGAATCAGCAACAGTTCATCCATTTGGATGCTGCAACTACTCCTCTTGATTCTAATGAATTTCCAGTGTCCTAAATATTGCAATGTAAATATGCTATGTTCAGTGAACGTGTCAAAATAGAAAATTAAAGTCATGACTAATCTTTATTTCACAGGGGAAAACAGAAAATACTTTCCCAAAATTTACTAAACAACAATTAGCTGGAAAATTAGTTTCCCAAATGTAAACTCATGCTAGAATGTTACTTTTAGAAGCCACCTATGACTTACACATTAATAGGCACAGAATGGATATAAAAGTAAAAAATTTATCTTCAGGTAGTATAATTTGGGAGGGAAATAATGTTTTTATCCAATGCAGAAGTAATTGTGCCAATGCTTTTCTCATTAGATGTCAATGTGAATTTGAATGATTCCTATCAAAGCATAACCAAAGTATTTTAATATATTCTTTTTTAACATTTCTATATTCCACTGAGTTTGTAGAGGATACTTAAATATTATATCACAGGGACAATAAATCAAAAATTAAACTAATATGTAAGTTTTAACGTAACTGCTGTTTTTAGAAGTCAAGAAAGAGCCCTCCAATACACCCGCCTGCTGTGAGTCCAACTGTTGGATGGAAGACTAACAATGATGATTCTCGAAGGGGCAGAGCTCAGGATAAGCTTTATGTAGAGAAAATCAACAGTTTAGGGAAAGCAGCAAGAAACAGACTCTCAAATTATGCTATAATTTCTATTGCTGTAAGTAATCCTTCAGTTATTCCTCTAATTTTCTTACACACTACCTTCATTTTTACCCATACTGCTAAAGACCTGTGAATCAAAAGTCACACTGTAGATTTTTGAAAGAGAGATTCTGTTTTCTTACAGAAATTAGATTATAGTTGGGGAGCATATTTGTGACCAAACACTCTCATCAAATAAACCACATGTCACCAAAATTATATCCTAAAAATTATAAGTGCTATAAATTTCTGTAACAATGTAGAATAGTAAAATAATCTCCCAGTTTTACACAATTATTAACATGCTACATACAAGAATCCCATTCAAAAGGCCATTAAGCTGTAAACTTTATGAAGTAAACTTGACCTAAAACTAATACACTGTTATAGAAATAAACCACCAATTTCATTCATCAGTAACATCATTTTTGAGTTTAGTCCTTTTTTCACATAATTTGGATGGCCACACATATCTTTAAATATATATATATATATATAATCTAGATTTCCATATATAGATTTCCATATATTACATAGATTTTCATATATTCCCTCTGTTTTCCCCATAACACTTTGTAAAGTTAATTGAATAATAAAAATCATTCCAGAGTTCATAAATTCACAAGCTGCCACGAAGCACTTTAGTAGATGCTTAATATGATTGTTGTTGCAGACAGTGATGGAGCTATTTCCACCGAGGGAGTGGGGGAAGCATTTTAATAAATAAGAGCAGATGCAATACTTCTCCTGTTCATATTTCCTACCTCTATAATTTACTGCTGTGGTTCTCAACCTGAGTACCACAAAGATAGCCATGGTAAGTACAAACAAACACAGTGTGATGAGTGCTGAGATAGAAGCATGGGGAATGTGAAGCACATCATAGAAGAAACACCTAATATAAACTTGGGGAGTCAGGGAAACATTCCAGGAGGAGGAGATACTATGACTGACCTCTAAGCAAGATCTTAAGGATAAGTAGGATTTAATGAAAATAAGGAGGAAAGATTTCTAGTCTAAGGCATTTTATGGGCAAGGCCTGGATGAATACATATAATATATCAGAGGAAATGAGAGAGGTGTAGTGTAGAGTGAAAACAAGAACATCTGGAAAGACAAATAGGATGGATCATAGGACCATTATAGCCCAGGTTAAGCAGTGTGATACCACTGAAGAACATTAAACAGGGAGGGACAGGATGGATTTTAGAAAGAGCACAATGTAGGAAATGTGTTAAGACTGAAGGAAGCGTAATCAATTAGAAGGCAAGAGGAATTTTCAAGAATTGGGTGAATCCAACAGTGTCCTACAAATTAGGTATGTTGACATGAGGAGATGGTACGAATGATGACGGCTAGGTTTCTGCTTGGGCAAGTGGTGGCTGGTGATGCTGTTCACTGAGAGAAGGAACTTTTGGAGGAATGACAATAAGGTCAGTTTTTGAAATGCTGAGATGGGGTTTCTGGGAAGATCCAAAAGGAGATATTCAATTACCTATTGAATAAAAATGTTTTTTCCCAAATTATTTCTGAGGAGGATATATAAGAACTACTCTTTAAATATTGAGGAAAACAACACATTTAGTTTTATGCACAAATGGAACCAAAATTTGCCAAAAGTATTTTATTGTCAAATAGTGTACAAACACTTTTCAATTATTGGACAATTTATGTTCAATGTATAGGACAGTAAATTTATCTCCATTACAAGAAACTAATCCAGAATGTCTGAATCAAAAGCTGGCTTGCTGTCCCTCACAATTCACTGGAATGTAGCATTTAATGGCTGGCCAGGAGATGCACGTCTATAATCCCAGCACTTTGGGAGGCCGAGGTGGGAGGATCATGAGGTCAGGAGATCGAGACCATCCTGGCTAACATGGTGAAACCCCGTCTCTACTAAACATACGAAAAAAAAAAAAAAATTAGCTGGGCGTGGAGGCAGGCTCCTGTAGTCCCAGCTACTCGGGAGGCTGAGGCAGGAGAATGGCATATCCCGGGAGGCGGAGCTTGCAGTGAGCCAAGATCGCGCCACTGCACTCCAGCCTGGGTGACAGAGTGACACTCTGTCTCAAAAAAAAAAAAAAAAAAAAAAATACAGTTAAGGTCAGACTGACGGGGTTCAAATTCCTGTGTTACCTCCCAACAGCAGTGTAACCATGGACAAGTTTCTTAATTTCCCTGTGCCTCGGTTCAGTTTCCCTATCTATAAAATCAGATAAAAATAATATCTACCTCATTGTGTTGCTCTGTGATTTAAAATAGATAAAATGTCTAAGTGTTAGAAGAACATTTAGTAAGAATTGAATGTATGATTGCTACTTTTCTAGAAACTATTAACATATGTAATTGGATGAATGTTCAGTTCTTCCTGAACCCACCACGCAGAAATTAAGAGTATTATAATATATATTGTATTAGTGAACTGATATGATATTTTATATCTCTCTAACATAATTAAAAATTCAAAAGGTTGACTTGCTATTTCTGTTATTTACGTATGTTACCTCTATTTTGGTCAATTTAACAACAAACTGAAACACAATGTTGTCCTCTACAATGAAATCTTCTCTGTTGCACATGTTCTCCTTTCTCATCACCAGTAAGTGCTCCACAAACCTGCACCAGTAACTGTATCGCATTGTTAGTCCACCAACAACAATGGCTGGTTTCCTCACACCTTTTGGACAACATGGTTAGCCCCAACACAATCCCATTGCAGCCCAGATCTTCTATGTTGCTTGCTAGATCACTTTCTGCTTTCTCTATTCCTTTGTTGGGGCCCAGGGCACAGCTGCAGTGAACCACAGAGCTCTACCCACCTGTCACACCACATATTCATAGGATCCAACTTTAGTGCAGCTCATGCTGCTCTAAGCAATCCTTTCAGCCATTTCCATTCATTTCAATTCAACCTACTTCAACAAAACTACACTACTATATATGCAGAATGCTTTGCTATGAATTAAAGTATAAAATAACAAGACTAACCCCACTCTCAAAGAACCTATAGTATATCAAGGGGGTAAAATGCAAGTTGCAAACCTGGGATGAGAGAACTGGTATGGGATTCCATACCACTTTCTTCTCTCCTACAGATAGTCTCTTCAGCCTTCACCATCAGCCAATGACAGTTTATAGCTCACTGAAATCATGGCTCCTTGATATAAATACCTACAAAAACATTTTCTTCACCTCCATATATTTCTAGCTTCTCATAGTCTTTAACTTTTCCCTCCATTCTTTTTAAATTTTTGACTTTGACCCATGGAAGCTTCCTCCTTGACCAATATCTCCGACCCTTTCCTCTTTGCCTTCCAACAGGCATATAGCTCTTATTCCTGAAAAAAAAAAAAAAAAAAAAAAAAAACTTTTGGTCCTATTGACTACTCTTTATTTTCACATAACCCATTTTACTGCCAAACCTTTCAGTGTTTCCATTTCAACCCTACATCTACAATCACTTTTCCACCCATACTCTCAGGCATCACTAATATATCCATTATCAGTCTAGTCAATAGCTTTTGTCCTCTTCTTCTTCTCCTTGATGTTTCTATAGTTATGAATACAGATTCTCATTCAATTCTTTTTGAAACTCTCTCTGTAATTAGCTTGATGACACCACACAATAGTTGGGTCCTTTTACAGTCCTGCAAAGGTTACTTCCTGGTTGGTTTGTTTGCTACTTCCCTTTCCTCCTAAATGTGGATTGCCTCCAAGGGTTAGTTGTAAGCCTTCAGTCTTCCCTTCCTATAGATTCCCATAGAGAACACATTCTTCTCCTGGCTTTCCTCTGGGTTGATGACTGGTGAGTCCTTATCCCCAGGACTGTTCTCTCACCAAGTATCAGCTCATGGTCTGCAACAATCTACTGAACAAACAAGAGGCTCTAGAAGCAGACTACCTTAAACCATCTTCCTGCTCTGCCACTTACTAGCAGTGTATAACTGGAAATGTTGCTTAACCGCTCCATTCCTCAGTTTCCTCATCTTTAAATTGAAGAGAATAATATCTATCTCATAAGATGGCAGTGAGAATGTAATCAGATAATCCATGTAATTGACAATACTTTGTCTGGAGCGTAGTAAGCACCCAATAAATATTCGCTCTAACTAACAATAATGCAATTATACAACTCCAGTTTCAAAACTGTATAATTCTAAATAAAAATCAACCACATAAAATAACCTTCATGATCCAATAAAGAGCTCTCTGAGATTATTGTCTTTTAAAATTATCTTATACCACTTGATTATGGTAGAAGAAAAAATATAAAATTCTCCCAGTCATTTAGGTTTAGAATCTTAGCTTTACCTTTGACCAATGCTATTCTCCAGTATTCACATCTAGAAACTAAGTCTGGCCATTTTATTGTTAAATATTTCTCCTCTCTGTTCATTATTCTTCATTCTCATGCCTGCCATGGTCAAATGTAGGCCTCAGATTCCTCATGGGTAACTCAGTAAGGCTGGAGTCCATAATATTTAAACAATTTCTAAAATTCAATAATTCCTTGAAAGGTTGTAGTCATCCTGTTTAAAAATACATGTACCGTGTGCATAGGAAGAATAAAAAAGCCACATTATTAAGGAATTGAGATATGGGACAAGAAAAGGAGTTTCTAGGAAATTAGAGAAAACACAGTGTTTCACTCATTGAGACTGTGAGATGAAGCAGGACCTCAGATAGTGACATCTAGAACCCAACAACAAGGAACTTCATTCTAAGGTAAAGCACACTTGGAAGTAAGATTGCCTTGAAATGAGACCATTGAAGCATGATGAGTGAGGATTCCTAACATTTCCCTGTGTAGTAACTGGTCCGTCAGTCCTAACAGGATGAAGGGTGGTGAAACACTCCAACGCTGATATACTTGAGTCTACAATTTCAGAGGCAGAACAGTATGGTTGTAGGAGTGTCTGGCAGATAAGAGGTTAGGATGTCACTAAAGAGGAGAAAATGTCACTGAGAGGCTTGGGGCTGAATGGGTCATTTGTGTGCTCCTTCAAGTCACTTGGGATCATGGAAGAACTTCTGTTTAGGAGAAAATAGGCTTTTTTTTTCTTTTTTTTTGAGACGGAGTCTCACTGTGTCTCCCAGGCTGGAGTGTAGTGGTGTGATCTCGGCTCACTGCAACCTCCGCCTCCTGGGTTCAAGTGATTCTCGTGCCTCACCCTCTGAATAGCTGGGATTACAGGCGTCTGCCACCACACCCAGCTAATTTTTGTATTTTTAGTAGAGACAGGGTTTCAACATGTTGCCCAGGCTGGTCTTGAACCCCTGACCTCAAGTGATCTGCCTGCCTCAGCCTCCCAAAATGTTGGGATTACAGGTGTGAGCCACCGTGCCCAGCTACCTCTAGTAGGCTTTTAATATGACAGTAGAGGAGTCATGATCTGGAAGTAGCAGAGAAAACCGGAAGTGCAGAGGGCACTAACTTCATCTCCTCTCCTAAGAGGGATGAACGCATCTCCTTTGCAATGGTTAAAAGCAAAGCAACATCTTCAGGTCATGAAATAATTCACTAGAGAGAAAGAAGTACAAAGAAACTTTCAGGGGATAGGGAGGGGGGATTATGTGGATTAGGAAGTGGCAGTTGCAGAAGGCAAAACATAAAACCTTAGGAAGGAATAATAGAAGGAGAGTTTGGGTCAAGGAGGAAGTGCAGATAATTAAAGGGATGAGAAGTCTGAAAGAGATGTTCTTAGCAGCTTACAGTTTAGGGGCTGACACAAAGAAACAGAGTAAGAGGTAGGGTGGATTTAGTCCTAAAATATGGAGGGTAGTGAGAGTCTCTTAAAAATTCACCAAGAGATGGAAAAGAGGGATGGAGCAAGTGGGCATGAGTGAGTCAGGAGCTCATCTGAAGCACCTGTCGCAATGCTGAGCCCAGGTTTCAGAGCTGCTACAGGTGTTTCAAATGTTTCTTTTTATTCGTTGTTATATCTCTCATGTGTAACAGTTTCTTGGGACCAGACATTCCGCCTCAGTTTCTTTTGTAAAACACATAGCACTTATCTCTACACGCACACACAAGAAAACATTAAAACAAACTACCTATTTTACAAAGACAACAGTTTTAGATTCAAGAAAACTGGGATGCTTGCAAACGGAAAGCAATGAGTTGCACTGCAGCCATCATGAACTGTATTGCCTGTCTTTATATGCAAGACTGATTCTACATGTTTTAAACTGGCAAGAGCAAAGGCATATTTTTCATTTATTGTAGAAAATAAAATAAATGAAAATAAAAATTTCATACCTAGTTGAAATGTTTTAAATGGCAAATTTTCAGTGACACAGGAAAAATAATCACAATGAAGGGGGACAATTAACACATGAGCACTCAAAGCACAGGCAATGAAAAAGCAAAGGTGGAAACGTCAAAAGTAATTACTCCCCTATTCAGGGTATATAGAAATAAAAAGACCACTACTGCAATAGTAGATTTCAGAAGTTAATATAGAATTCATGCCCAACAATGAGAATATATAACAAGACTTTAGTTTGTTTCAGGTGACATTATTTTCTTCAAAGAAAAAGGCTTTATGGAAACAAATTACAAATCCAAATAAATCAGAAATCAACCTTTATCCTGCCAAAAAGACTTATTTTATTTTTAAAATAAATAAGAACAACTGAAGGTATAATAGTTCATATCCAAGGTCATTCATTCTTCCTGCATATTTATAAATTTATTGATAAGCTTAGAAGTCTGTTTCAAGTATCAATGGCCTCAAAGATATATTAGTTTTCTATTGCTACATAACAAATTATCACAAATTGAGTAGCTTGAAGCAACACACACAATTATTGTCTCACAGTTTCTTTGTGTGTGTGTGTGTGTGTGTGTGTGTGTGTGTGTAAAATAAGGTATTGGCTCATATGTCTATGGAGGCTGAGAAATCCCATGATCTTCATGGGAAGGCTGGTGGTGTAGTTACAGACCAAATTTGAGACCCTGAGAATCAGGAGTGCTGATGGTGTAAGTCCTAGTGTGATGGCAGGAAAAGATTGCTGTTCCCACTCAACCAGTCAGGCAGGGTGCAAATTCCCCTCTCCTCTGCTTTTTGTTCTACTCAGGCCCTCAACCAATTGAATGACATCCATCCACATTGGGGAGGTACATTAGTCCGTTTTCACACTGATATAAAGAATTGCCTGAGACGGTAATTTATAAAGGGAAGAGGTTTAATTGACTCACAGTTCCACATTGCTGGGGAGGCCTCAGGAAACTTACAGTCATGGCAAAAGGCAAAAGAGAAGCAGGCACCTTCTTCACAAGGCGGCAGGACTGAGTGACTGACAAGCAAAGGGGGGAAAGCCCCTTATAAAACCATCAGATCCTGTGAGAACACATTCACTATCATGAGAACAGCATGATTCAATTACCTCCCACTGGGTCCCTTGCCCAACATGTGAGGATTATGGAAACTATAATTCAAGATGAGATTTGGGAGGGACACAGCCAACCCATATCATGACGGCACTCTGCTTCACTCAGTCCACTGATTCAAATGCTAATCTCTTCTGGAAACACCCTGACAGATATCTTGTGACCCAGTCAAGGTGACATATACAATTAACCATCACAAGTGTGAAGTCCAGGCACAGCCTGGCTGTCTTCTTGCTGAGTGTTTCACAAGGCAGCAATCAAGACGTCAGCTGGGCTGCATTTTCATCTGGAGGTTCAACTGGGAAGAATTCACTTCCAAGCTCCCTCAGGTTGTTAGGAGAACTCACTTCCCTGCAGCTGCATGACTGAGGACTTTGATTTCAAGATGCCACCTGCAGTTGCCCGCTATATGACCTCTCCGCAGGCAGTTCACATTATAGCAGTTTGCCCCTTTAAGGCCAGTAGGAAAGTGTCCCACTCTAGTTTGCTAGCACAGAGCCTCAAATAATGTTATGTAATGATATGTAATGATGATATGCAACAGAATAACATCCCATCACCTTTGCCATTTTCTATTTGTTGGAAGCAAGTCACAGGATTTGTTCACACTGAAGGGAGGGCATTACACAGGGAACAAGAAGGTGACCTCATTAAAGGTCACTTTATGGTGTGTCTTTCACAAAAGATAAACTGACCTAACCAAATTTCTAGTGAAAAATGTTTTTAATGAGAAATACTGTAAATGTATTCCATTTTTAAGTTTTAAATAATTTTTGTCTTGATAAATTCTCAAAAGCAATCTATAAACATTTAATAGTATAAAACTTAAAATACATGAATATTAATTTGACCAGAATTTCTTGGAGTTATATTAAATTAGTTTTGTTTTTTGCTTTCATCATGAATACCGTATAGATATTTAGAATATGTAAACTAATATTGAAATGTTTGTTATATTTTTTAAAAAACCTACTAAACAAATAAGTAGATCAATGGAAAATAATGCACTCATGAATGTATGGAAATATGATATATGACAGAGGTGATGTTAAAAATTTAGTGAGGTAATAATGGACTCATCAATAAATAGTGCTGCAACAATTAATTCAACATGCAAAAAAACTCCTCTGTACTTTTCTCTATAGTTGAAATATTGAGCAATTAAAAAAAATCTCTATCCCGTTATCTTAAACACACACACAAAAGTCTATTCCAGATTGATTAAAGACCTAAATGCATTAAGGCAAACTTCAAAGTATTTAAAAGACATTTAGCACAGTCATGAAAGAAAATATTCATAAATCTTACTAAATTTTTAAAAACCTGTTTAACAAAAGATACAAAAACAAGTTTTGGAGAAAATATTTGCAAAACATTCTAGGTTATCTAAAACATATAAACACTTCTAGCCAATAAGAAAAAGACAAGCAATAGAAAATGGGTAAAAGATATGGATATGCAATTCACCAAAAAGGAAGCCATCATGACCAATAACTGTGAAAAGATGCTCTGCTTCACCAGTAGTCAGAGAAGGGCAAATGATAAATATTAATATTAACAATGAAGTACCATTTTAAATCCATCAAATTAGCAAAAGCCAAGTCTGACAACACATCATCCCCTACGCTATAGTAGAACCACTTTAGAGAGCTATGTAAAAATACAAATAAAGTTGAAAGTATGTGTGCGCTTTATTCATAGTAATTCCACCTCCAGGCTAGAGAAACTCTTACACTCACACACCACAAGACATGTCAAGGAATATTCACTGAAGCACTATTTGTAAAATTATTCAGTAAGTAAAACTAGTAATAAACATATAGTAAAATATTATGTGGTAACTAAAAGATAGATTTATATTTGTTATCTGATACGGTTTGGATTTGTGTCCCCGCCCAAATCTTATGTCGAATTGTAATCCCCAGCGTTGGAGGAGGGGCCTGGTGGGAGGTGATTGGATTATGAGGATGGATTTCTCCCTTGCTGTTCTTGTGATACTGAGTGAGTTCTCACAAGATTTGGTTGTTTAAAAGTGTGTAGCACCTCCTCCTTCGCTCTCTCTTCCTCCTGCTCCAGCCGTGTAAGACATGCGTCTTCCTCTTCACCTTCTGCCATGATTATAAGTTTCCTGAGGTCTCCCCAACCATGCTTCCCATACAGCCTGCAGAACCGTAAGCGAATTAAACTTCTTTTCTTTATAAATTACTCAGTCTCAGGTATTTCTTTATGGCAGTGTAAGAACATTCTAATACATTATTATAGACAAATCTCAAAGCAAGTTGCCAGATGCAGTTGTGAAAAACTGAAAATAGGCTGGGTGCAGTGGCTTGCACCTGTAATTCCAGCACTTTGTAAAGCCAAGGTGAGAGAATCACTTGAGCCCAGGAGGAGTTAGAGACCAGCCTGGGTAACACAGTGAGACCTCATCTCTACAAAATATATATATTTTTAATTACCCAGGCATGGTGGTATGTGCCTGTAGTTCCAGCTACTCTGGAGGCTTAGGTGGGAGGATCACTGAGCCTGAGAGGTTGAGCCTGCAGTAAGCTGTGACTGTGCCATTGCATTCCGGCCTGGGTGATACAGCAAGACCCTGTCTCAACAAAAAAAAAAAAAAGAAAAGAAAAGAAAGAAAATAGAAAATCTCCACTAACAGGAAAGTAGATTTTTTAAATTGTGCTGTATTCATAAAATAAATGATATCCAGGAATTAAACTGAATTAGAGATCAATGTATAACCATAAGTAAATCTTAAAAACATGTCGACCAAGAAAAGCAAGAAACAAAATAGTATGTTAGCAGGAGATTATTTATATAAGGTTTGAAAACATGCAAAACCATGCTATATCTTGTTGACAGAACAATAATAAAAATATTAGTGAATAATAAACACTAATTCAGAATATAGGTAAACTCTGAAGAACGACTAAGGGAAATGTGATCAGGAAATGGTACACTGGGATTTCCAAATATAGCAGTGATTTTTAATTTCTAAAAAAACAATGTAAAGCCAATATGTCAACACATTAAAACTCTATTAAAGCTGGTTAGTCAGTAATTGGTGTTCATTACAGTATTCTGCATTATTTTATGCTGGTTTGAATATCTGATTTTTTTAAACAACAAACCCACCAGATCTTTCTCCAGCATTGCTGTTTAATTCACTGTTTGTCCTTCTGTAAAATATCTTTCTAACATATTGTATACCTCTTTCTTAATTTTATTTTTAGTATTGAAACTATTGAATAACCTTTTCTTTTCAAGAGCGCTCCACTGGAGATATTTAATATTCATAATAAAGACATTATAAGTGGAGATTTTTTAATTTTAAGAAATTTTTATCAAATGACAAATTCCATAAGGAAGGGATTATTTCTTTTTGTTCTTGTCCTTTTGTCCCAGTGTAACGCAACATGTCTACACATGCATAATAAGTGCTCAGTAAATGTTGTTACACTCCTTAGAAAACAAAATCACTACTTCAGAACTTAAAAAGTACTCATTTCTTCATTGTTTCTAAAAACTATCTTAATTACTTTACCATAAAAAAGGGCTTAGTGATCTTTTTGCTCTTTCATATATACAGTAGATAATGTTCACAGGAACGTAAGAGAATATTATTGAAAACAGTGGCAGGTCAATATGGTTTTAAAACTGTACAACAATCCCTTCACTGCTTATTTACACATAATAGAATATTTATTTAGGGAGGCCATACACACAATGAATATACATGTAAATTTATAATATAATTTCCATATTTTAATAGAATGGTATTAATGATGCTTTCATTTTTGTCTACAAGTAGCCTGAGAAAATGTCATCCAAACCAACTCCAAAGTTAATTCCAAAAGGGAAAGGTTTTTGGTGAGTCTGGTTTGAATGACACAAGAAACCATCAGGGCAGGAAATAGTCCAGGAGACACAACTACACTTGTGGTAGGCACCCTCTAATATAGCACTCAAAGATCCCTGCCTCCTGGCATTTCCAACCTTGTCTAGTTCCCTCCTAGACTGAATTGTGGCACTTCAAAATTCCTATGTCAAAACCCTAACATGCAATATGACCGTATTTGGAGACAGGGTCTTTAAGGAAGAAATTAGGCTTAAATGAGGTCATAAGGGTGGGATAATAAGTTGTCCTTTTAAGAAGGGGAACAGACACCAGAGACATAGCTCTTGCTCGCTCTCACTCTCTCTTTCTCTCTCTCTCTTTCTCTTTTTCTCCCCCCTCCCCTCCCTTCCTCTCTTTGTTTCTTTCTCTCTTTTTCATCACTCACCCTAGGGGAAGTCAGCTGAAATACCATTACAAGCCCTGTGGAAAGGCCCCATTTGACCAGAAAATGTCTGGTCAAATGGCTGTTGTCTCCTGCCAACAGCCACAGTCACATGAATAAACTTGGAAGTGGATTCTCCAGCCCCACTCAAGCATTCAGATGACAGAAACTTTGACAGCTTGACTACAGCCTCATGGAAAACCCTGAGACAGAACCACCTAGCTAGCTGCTCCTGGATTCCGGATCCTTAGAAACTATGTCAGATCATAGATGTTTCTTATTTTAAGTCACTAAGTTTGGGGTAATTTTTATATAGCAAGAACATATTACTTATTCAAAACCAGCTTAAAAGCCTGCTGCTAACTTTTTCTAATTGATATGATGCCAGCCATTTTTATTCCATGGTGTTTACCAATCACTACCCTAATTATAATCCTTCATGACCATCAGCCTATCAGTTAGATGCACAACCATAAGGCGTCCACTCAGTGGTATTTAGTTGTATCCAAGCACTACTTTTAAGGGAGATCAACATCTTAATATCCATTTATCTTCTAATCACCAATATCCCAAAATTCCAAATGAAAAGTATGTTTTAGATAGTGCTCTACTGTGATTTAAATTTCATTCATTATGGCAAGGTTTAAAGCATCTAACATTCTCCTTTTCTTTTTTTTTTTTTTTGAGATGGAGTCTCGCTCTGTCGCCCGGGCTGGATTGCAGTGGCGCAACTTGGCTCACTGCCAGCTCCGCCTCCCAGTTTCACGCCATTCTCCTGCCTCAGCCTCCCAAGTAGCTGGGACTACAGGCGCCTGCCACCATGCCCGGCTAATTTTTTTGTACTTTTAGTAGAGACGGGGGTTTCACCGGTTTAGCCAGGGTGGTCTCGATCTCCTGACCTCGTGATCCACCAGCCTCGGCCTCCCAAAGTGCTGGGATTACAGGCTTCAGCCACCGTGCCAGGCCTATTCTCCTTTTCTTGATTCTATATTAGCTATATTTAGGATTACAGAATTTCCTTATTTTGTTAATGTTGTTAAGTCCTCTTCTTATTGTTAAACAGGCTTTTAACAATATTAAAAATTGTTTCCTGGTAATAATGGGTTTTCACTGAAATGCTTCGTTTTTCCTTTTATCTTGCTCATCAGTGTTTCCCTTTCTCCAGCTGCTTATGTTATTACTTGCTTAATTTTCCTCTTCTCTTGTTGATCTTCTCTCCACCTGTGTTCTATCTGATGGCATGTAAAAACTATATTTCTCTTATAACATTTATGAGTTTTATCTATCATTATCTTCTGAAATTTAAAAGCCTGATGTTAGCCTGAATTCTACTGAAAAGATAACTGCTGAACATTTGGAGAAAAGGATTATTTCAAGGGTATGAATGCGGCGGTTTGGATAGAAGAATGAAGACATCCTTAATACGCTTTGTGATGCTGATTTTCAGTAGAAATAGTTTTCTCTAATAAGTTTTAATCGATGCTGCAAAGTTAGGGCCTAAGTGGATTTCCAATTGGGTGAAGCCAACTGGATGTCAGCCACTGTGTAAAGGGCCCGAGTGGAGACTTCTGTGGTAGGAATTAAGAAGGAAGCCCACACAGGTCCTAAGATCACTAACTGATTAAGATCATCTAAGCTGTTAAATGTCTAACATGCAAAGGTCAAAATGATACCATAAAAAATACACTCCATTTTCTTAAATATCTTATATTGTGGAAAATTATATCTAGAGATTGAGGATTTAGAAGGGAAAACAAACTAAAGCACAATGAAAGAGGGGGGTTGGGTCCCATCTGTGTCACCTTTTAACTGAGAGACCTTGTATTAATCTAGTTTCTATGAGCCTCTGTTTCTTCAGTCATAAAATGGGAATAATAATACTTCCCGTAAGAGGTAGTAATAATGATTAAATGAGATAATGTGTGCATGGCACATAGAAAGTGTTCAATAAATGGTGGTTCTTTTAAATTGCTTAAATTAGTAGTGAAAGGGGAGTAGCATGAGTAAGAAAAAGTGTCAGAGTCCCCTCAGATAACATGATTCCATTAATTCTCAGACCTTAAGGCTGCCATGAAATGTTTGTGCTAAAATATCCTGTTCAACACACTTTTTGTTACATAATGTCACTGAAGTTTAATGTAGTGACATATATAAAAGCAGGTATGTGGAGAGGATTGACATGTAAACAAATAACTAGGCTACAGAAAGTGAATCACATGAAGTGTTATATGAAAACTGAAGATGTATTAACTGACTACATGACTTGGGTTGCGGTGGGTGGCATCAAAGAAGGTTCAAATATATGGGTATTTAAATTGAGTCTTTAATGAAGAGTAGAGGAATGCATTCCGTGGACAAAGCAGTGGGTGGAATAGCACCTGCAAAGGCCTATAGGCTTGAAACACCAAGGCATGTGTCATGGGTGCCAAACTTGCTTGCAACTTAAATTACCATGGGAGCTTCAAAAATAGGGATGCCTGTGTCCCATCCCCAGAGATTGTGTTTTACTGTCTGGGGTTCGACCTAGGCTTTGTGATTATTTAAAGACTCCCCACACCAGGTGATTCTAATATGCACAAGAGTTTGGAAACCACTGTCATATTAAGTTTCTGTCAGTTGTTTTGTCTGGCTGAATGCAGGAGAAATAATTGGAAATGAACCCGAAATGCTCTGCTGTAAAACTTAGACTTTATACTCTAGTCCAGAAATTGTTTGATTGTCCAGTCATAATTTTAAAAACTTGGTATGTAGTCCAAAATGTGAATATGTATTTATTTGCTAATTGATGCAGATACTACTGTAACAATATGGCATGTACAATATAGATACATTATACACAAAACAGGAGAAGTAAAAAAAAGATTAGCTAAAGAATAAAGCAGTATTTTAAAGTATAGTTGACCCTTAAACAACACAAATTTGAGCTTTGAGGGTCCACTTACATGCAGATTTTCTTCCTCCTTTGCCACCCTGAAGACAGCAACACTAACTTCTCCTCTTCCTCTTCCTCCTCAGCCCACTCAACATGAAGATACTCAGATAAGGACCTTATGATGATGTAGCTCCATTTAATGAATAGTAAATATGGTTTCTCTTTCTTGTGATTTTTAAAATAACATTTTCTTTTCTTTAGCTTATTTTATTGTAAGAATATAATATTTAATACATACAACATACAAATTATGTGTTAATCAACCCTGTCTCAAAAATAAATTTAAAAAATAATATTTGTAAAAGGATCAACTACAGTTATTTTATTTATCAATGGTAAAAAAAAAAACCTATCTGTTTTCACTAAGTTATTAATTTTTTTTTTTTGAGACAGTCTTGCTCTGTCTCCCAGGCTGGAGTGCAGTGGCAGAATCACAGCTCACTGCAGCCTTGGCCCCCTGGGCTCAGAAAATCCTCCCACCTCAGCCTCCTGAGTAGCTGGCACTACAGGCACACATGCCACCATGCCCAGCTAGTTTTTGGTTTTGATTTTCTTTGTAGACATGAGATCTTACTTACTATGTTGCCCAGGCTGGTATTGAACTTGTGGACTCAAGTGGTCCTCCCACATTGGCCTCCAAAACTGCTGGGTTTATAGGTGTGAGCCACCATGCCCGGCCTCACTAAATTATTATCATTAAAATGTTATTTTTGAATAAGCAATAAGATCGGATATGTTTCATTATTTGTCATAATCTTGGTTTGACATTTCATGATACAGAAGTTCTAAGATCTCCTTTTAACTGTGGATATTTTGTAACTTAGTTTTAATAACTGTCATGCCTAAAACCAAAAACTGTCACCACCCACCAGAAAAAAAAAATATGTATACATGGGAGAAATGCATCATTGGCTGAACAAACTAAATCATGGTTTTCATTTTTCAAGCTCACCACCAATTATGTAAGAATTTAGTTAATATTAGGTTAACAAATGTTTAATGGCGTTTATACCTATTATTTTGTCTTACAAATTAATCAGAGGGTATTGAAAGAAATTTCTAATAAAAGAAGCTCAAAACGCTGGGACTCATATTTTGTAATTTTTTAAACAGCTAGAAAACGTTGTCATGTTTTTAAGTTTGACATCGAGAGGAAGGTGTCAGTTTCTGTGAAATAGAAAAGATAAGACAAGGTCACTGGTATTTATCTCAGATCCAGTGAACATTACTAAGCTCCTAAGCGCCAGATGCCCTATGCTCCTCACAGGTTCGTCCTTTTATGTTTGCTACAACCCTGTGTGTTATTCATCTCCATCTTTGTATTTCAGGTGAGAAAACCAAGGCTCACGGAAGGGTACTAACTACAGTAGTAACAATACAAAAGAAAGGTTTGGATCTGGAGAGTTGAAAACTGAGAAAAAGGCTTGCAAAAGCTACCAAGAAATATTTGTTAAGGAGACCATGAGAAGCAAAGAACATTTTCCTGGGGCATGCTCTGATGAGATTAGACAGCATGCACTTATGATGAGAGATATTTAGTATAATGTTGTGACTTTTTCCACATCCTGACAATCCAGAGGTCAGCAAGAAATTAGACAGAGGGGATCAAAAAATGGAGGGGCCAGATAATTCTAAGATGTTGGCAAATGAGCTTTGGTAATAAGGTGTGGCTTTTATAGGTACTGCAACCAAGAAAGGCCATGCTGAAATGGAATAAGGATGAGATGGGGGACTCAATTGTTCAGTATGGGAATGGGGGCGAAAGATGCAAGAGATGGAAAATAAGATGGTTGGGAAGGGAGATGCTTCAGTGGGAAAATCATGGATTTTCTATATCTGATAGACCTGGGCTTGAGTCCTGACGTGGCCAGCTGTTTTGTGACCTAAGAAAGTTACATCACATCCCTCAATCTCAGTATCCTCATCTATAAAATGAGAGTTACAATAACACAGACTCAGTGGGTTTTGCAGTTTTTAAGAGAAAGAGCTTGGTAGGTATAACAGCTCAGATATATAGAAGGATCTCAACAAATGGTAGATTCTACTATTAGTATCATTATTAGAGAGTTTTCAGAGATGGAAAGACTTAAAGATGAGCGCCAAAATGAGGCAGGGCAAATACATGGCCAAAGTTTGTGGAGATAATGGTTCTTTGACGTGAGAAACTTAGAGAATTAAGAAGATAAAATATATTATATGTTTGTAGAGTGAGATAAGTTCTAAGAAAAAATCAATAGGGTGATATCTAAAGAGTACCAGGGTTAATGTGGGGGTGGGGTGGGGAGGTGGTGCAGTGGAGAGGAATGTTTAAAGTTGCCAGCAATGGCAAAAATGTCCACAAGAATTGTTTTTATATTTTTTTAAAATCCTTTTCTACATAATTTCTCACATGATAGAATAGCATAACTGGTATGATCTTTTAAAAATTAAAATTAGATCATGTCACGCCCCATTTAAATTCTTCACTGTCTTCCCTGCCCTTAAAATCAAATCCAAACTCTGCCAAGTCCACAATATCCAGATCTCCATGCTCAGCAGTATTGCTCTCCCTCTTGCTTTTCTGCTCCAGTCAAATCTGCTTTTCTGTATTTAGAATAAACCAAGACCCTCCTTGCTTCAGGCTCTTTGCTAATCTCTCTGTCCAGAGCACACATTCACCGGACCCCCACCCCCCAGTCTGTCTTTGTATCACCAGCAATTCCTCAGCTCAACTCTCACCTTCTCGGAGAGAAAATTTTCCTGACTGTGCTGTATAACGCACCTCATTCCTCTTCATCCCATCTCCCTTTCAACCCCTTCATGGAACATGTAGCAATCTGTAAGCATGTAAATTGTTTAGTCTCCAACTACAACGCAAATTATGTGAGGATGTGGACCAGGTTGCTGTTGTCTGTTACTGGAGCCACAGCACTAATAACATCAAGTAAACAAGAGGTGCTGGATAAGTATTGTCAGTTGAATAAATAAAAGATCAAAATATGAGAAATTAAATCTTTATCTGTACCATCAATAAATAAAACAGCTCTTCTGGTCAATTCTCCCAGCCTCCAAAGCCAGACAACTTCACAGATCCTTTGAAACACTATTTTTAAACTAATTGTCAATGTTGATTTCCCACTGACGATTTCTTATTCTCATAAATACAGCCTCCTCATCTCTCATGCTCTAGAAAATTCTAGAAAAACAAAAACAGCACCCATGACAACTCTAAAACACACATTAAAAAAGATAGAGATGTTTGTCTTAAGTCATTAGATCAACTCTCCCCCATCTCTTAAACTCCCAAACTAAAAAATGTAGAGGTAATCTTTGGCCACTTCTCTTTCCTCATTTTCAGCACTATAAATGTATATCTTGAAAATATCTCTTAGATTATTTTATAATTTTTTAAAATTTTATAAATAGATAGAGATGAGTCTCACTGTGTTGACCAGGTTGGTTTTGAACTCCTGGCCTCAAGCCATCCTCCCTCCTTGGCCTCCCAACATGCTGGGTTTACAGGCATGAGCCACCGCACTTCTCCTACTTTATAATTTTAAAGTGGGGAAAGCCTTCCTAACTCTCACATAAAATCCAAGTAAACTTTTGCATGAAGTTATTCACTATAAGTAAACTCGAAAAAAATTATAATCCAGGAAAAATATTTGTAACTCAAATCACAAAGGGGTGACTTCCCATTATATAAAATTCTTAAAAATCAATAAGAAAATACTGAAATCCCAATAGAAAAATGGGTAAAGATATTGACTGTTTCCAAAAAGGGAAACAAAATTTAAATGTAAAAAACACTCCACTTAAAATAATTGCAAGGACAGACCATTTTTTTTAATCTTGCCAATTGGCAAAGGTTCAAAGTTTGGTAATATCTTGTATTATCAAAGCTATGTATGCAACAGGCACTTTTACATGTTGCTGGTGAAGGTGTAAATTGCACCAACTCTTTGGAAAACAATTTGGCAAGAACTGTAAAAATTAAATACAAACATATCCTTTTCCTTATTCCAACTACTTTAAAAATGTATTCTATGTATTTATACATATATGCAGTGAACAAAGTACAAGGCTAATCATGAGACAGCATTGATTTAAAAAGCATAAGACTAGAAACAACCTCAACGTTCACCATTAGAAAGCAACTTAAATAAATTATGGTACATCCATACAACGGAATAATATGCATTAAAAAGTAAAAACGGAGCACATTTTGTGTACTGATACAGAAAAATCTCAAATGTGTTGTTAAGTGAAAAAAAGTGAGGTACAAACAGTATATGCAATATTACCACTTGTGCAAAGGGAATGAATGGGAATGCTTTCATATTTCCCTGTATATGCATTAAAAAAATCTCTGCAAAGATCCACAAGTAACTAAGGGGAGTGATTTTTTGGTGGAAGTGGGAATGACCTGACAGGGAAGGTAGGGGACTGTGTAGGAGAAAAAATTGTTATTATATACCTGTTTGAAACTCTGATTTTTGAACCATGTAAATAAACTACCTACTTAAGATAACTAATTTAAAAATTTGGTGGTGAGGTTAAGAAAAATAAAAGCATAGAAAGTGCTGTCCAACAGCCAACCTTCCTCTTAAATAACTCTGGGAGCCAAATGGCTCCCTGTTACTAATTAGGTGTACAATAAGTAATAGGAAACCCTTATTATATAAGTGAGAGCATAAAATGGATCGATTCTACTGTACGTTTTCAAAGGCCTTACAACAGCAGGATCACTTTATCTACCTCAATTTACCTTGCACTAGTCTCACAGGTAATCACTCCAGTCTTTATCCAGTCCCTACTCACTCATTCTTTCCCTTGCTAATGAGTTTTCTCCACATGGAGTCCCCTTGCTTTACCAACCCTAATACCACATTTTCATTCAGAGCACAGTCTCATATCTTCCTAGAAGTTTAAAACAACAGAAATTAAATATCTCACAGTTCTAGGGCCTACAAGTCCAAAATCAACGTGCCAGCAAGACCACAGTCTTTCTGAAACCTATAAGAGAGAATTCTTTTTTGCCTCTTCCTAGTTTCTGGTGGTTTCCTGCCAACTCTTGGTGTTTATTGACTTACAAGCTGCAGCACTTCAATCTCTGCCTCTATTGACAGATAGTATGTTCCCTTTGTGTGTATCTAGCTGTGTCTCTGTCTGTTTTCCTCTTCTTCAAAGGACACCAGTCGTATTGGATGGGAGCTCACCTTAATTTGGTATAACCTCATCTTAAATTGATTATATCTGCAAATATTCTATTTCCACATGAGGTACTGGGGGTTATAACTTCAACATATCTTTTGGGGATACAATTCAACCCATGAGACCTTCTCTAGTTGATGTCACCTCATTTTTAGTTTGATTCCCCTAATGTTAAATTCTATAACATACAGATTGGTACCTTTACAGTCTTTCTTGTTTATCTAGTGTCTTTTAGTTTGTGTGTGTGTGTGTGTGTGTGTGTGTGTGTGTGTGTGTGTGTGGTATGTGTTTATCTATCTATATGTCTATCTACTCTTTATCAATATAAATTATTCGTGTGTGTGTGTGTGTGTATAGGCACACACCTACCCCACCCCATACACATCACCTGCCTCCAACTAGATTATAAGTACCTCAAAAGCAGGAAATATGTTTTCTCTAAACTTTATTTGGATTGTTACTAGACTCATGGTAGTGACTAAAGGATTGGATGAATGGTGTCCTAATGTCACACTGTGACTTTTGTAAGTTTTAACCATCATTTGCCCATCATGACAACCTTTCAGTGAACTAAGAAGAGGTTCCTTGAGTCACTCAAAGTGTGAGAATCCAAAAATATCATTAGCTCATCAGTACCACACAGCAAAGGCTCCACTCTAAGGAAGGATTAAGATCAATAAACAATAGAGTTGGTCCCAAGAATCGAGGTAATTGCATGACAGGGAGGCAATCTAGTCTTCAGCTTCATGTCCAGCTGTCCAGAAGCGTGGCAAGCCCCTGCCTTAGTTTATAATTATGGACAAATAAGTTATCATTAGAAATGTGTTGTTTTCCCTCAGAAAAAATACATGCATATATCCATGTGTATGCATATATGTAATAATATATGTATTGATTCCCAATTAAAACAAAGGCTTGAGGTTTTTCAGGCATTTAAACCAACAGAACACAGTAGGATATGAATGGCAGTACAATATGGTAATTGGCTGCCGTCTCAATTCCATCCTGGGCAATCAAAGGCTTATGTTGGAACAAGGAACAATGAGGAAGACACTTAGTAAGTGTAAGAAAAGTAAAAACAGAGGGAAGGGCAGAGTTGAAAAATGAGGAGAGACGCAGAAAGAGAAGATCCAAAGAGGAAAACAAATAGCCTAAATATCTAATCTAGAAACATATAATTACATACTTTAAAATAATAAATAATATACAAATGACTCATATTTGTACAAGGGTGACAATATGTTATTGTGTTGTACTGACAAATGCTGTTCATTTTTAGCAGCAAAATCATTATACAGAAAAATATCAGTGATTAGGATATATAAATCGAAAAACTTAGAACGGGATATTAACCGAGAATTCACATAAAGAAAAATATAATTAGAAAAACAGATTACATGGAAAGGTGTAATCAGATATATGCAAATTAAGGCAATCTAGCTTTTAAAATTATCCACCAAATGTAACTAAAAGAGCTAAACTTAAAACATTCCTTTCAGTTGAATTTGGGAAGGAAATCAATATGCTCACTAGTTGCTGGTTATATTACCAATTGTACCTAAAACAATAGGACAATATATAGCAAGAATTATAAAGATGATCATGCCTTTTGAAAAATGAGTAAAGTCCTAGGGGTTTATCTTAGGAGCACAAAGGTACATGATTAGGAACATTCACTGAAATTTTGTCCATAAAAACAAGAATAGGAAATGACCTAAATATCTATCTATAGGATAATGATTGATTGTGTTTTTTAATCTCATAGAATATTATAACATTTAAATTATCATTATTAAGTTTATGTAAAGGCATTATGTGGCAATGGTAAGTAGAAAAAGCAGCAGTAGTAAGCATATGAATGACAACTAGGTAAAAATATGTATGCCTGTGGAATATCATTCATTCATTCAGTAAAGATGTACTAAGCAACGATTATCTACAGGTCTCATGTTAGAAACAAAGGATATAGTTTCCAAACTCACACTCACAATCTTAAGGAACAAAGACATGTAAAAATACATATCATAATAAAGAAAGTACTATATAATGTTTTTTAAAAAGAATTATATGGAATGGAAATTATATGTGATATTGTAAATCTTATGTGTGTTTTTCCCATTTATTCTTTTTTCTGTATTACAAAACATTACATGCTCATTGTAAAATACTAGGAAAATATAGAAAAATATAAAGAAGCAATTATCTCCGTAGTCCTGGCATCCAGAGGCAGCCACTCCAACAGTGTGGCATGTTTTCATTCTGTCCTTTCCAAATGATAATTTCTAGAATTTTAAAAATGTATTTAGATGACATACATACATTTTATGTCCTAATATTTTTATGTCCTAATATTATCAATTAAAATTATAGCATAAGCAAGTTCCCATACTATTAACAACTATTTGGAAAATGTTATTTAGTGTTTCATAATATTTCATTGAATAGATGAAATATGGTTTATTTAGCCCCCATGGTCGCGGCCTTGTTTCAAAATCGTTATTACCCTTAATAATGTTGTAATGAATATCTTTGTCTGCATTTCCATTAATTTCTCTGTTATAAACTTCTAGTATCTCATTTAATTTTTGAAGCTATAACTTAGTAATAGAACTCAGAGGCATTCTGCCATATGTATCACTTCATAATTCTGAGTATGAATTATGTTATCTATAGTAATTTCAACTAAAGTATCTGAGAATTAACATGATTGGTATCTTAAAGAGAAAAGTAACATTTTAAACTACCATAGAACAACATGTACAGAGTATACTTCCATTATAAGGTTACTTGTAATGGAAGTAAGTACTTCCAAATATAAGGTTACTTCTATTATAACCTTTCCCAAAACAGAGACCTATATTAAAGCTCCCATCTCATCTGCTGAGAAAAAGAGAGTAGAACAAGTGCTTGAACTCAAAAAGCCACAAACATTCTAAAATAACTTTTTTCTATATGAAAACAATATCTACATATATTTCAGAAGTTAAAGTCTACACATTTGAATTTCTTAAAACATCCATTACTATTAATATAAAAACACTATGAAATAAAAGCTATGTATACATTTAAAACCACAAAGCCCTTGAGCACAGAGGAGTAAAATTCAATGAACTAAGCCAATCTTCCTGTTTAGGGGCAAAAGTATAAAATCAAACGTTAAACTTTTTTGGTAAACAAAATAAAAAAGAAAATGCTTAATGTGACTTTTTCTAACATCTTCATGACTGCTCTCATTTTGCCAGGTGATACATTTTATACCTGCTTGAGTAAGTTGCTTAAGATAATTGGAATAGGTAATAAAATGTTTGTTTTTTCAATTTTAAGGTCATAAAAATGAAAAGTTACTCTAGTGAGTATTAATTCTCATCATAATCTCCCATATCTACACAATAAATATGGCAAATAAGCATTCATCTCACAGATGAGGAAACTGAGGCCTACTGTGTAATAATAATACAGCCAATCTGATACATGGTGGCATATGGCACAGCAGAAAGAACTGAGGTATGGAATGAGGCTATAAAAATCAATGACTTCAGGAAGAAGCCTTTAGAATTGAAGCTTTTTAGCTGGATATGAACAGCAAGAGTTATGTAAAATGCAGAAAGTGCCAGGTTTTCTTTTCATAACTATTGACAAAGAAAGGAAAGAGAACATTTGAAACCTGTAATAAACATTCTTAATTCAAATATCATTTAAACTCATTAATCATTGGGAATTTGTATCTGTATTTATCTTTAAAAGGAAGCATAAAGAGCTCTGTTATCCCTTTAGACAAAAAAGAGAGAGATAAAAAATGAAACTTGCAGAAAGGCCATAAATATAGGACTTACAACATTACTGCCTTAATAACAATTCTTCACTAATAGAATACATGACACCGTACCTTTACATAATGAAGACTAAACATAGCAGAAACTACATAATGGCTGTTCCACTGTGGATCAATTTGAGTCTAACATAACAGAAATGATCACCAATCCCAAGACGTTATGGAATAGTAAACTTACGATATTGTGCGGCTTTTCAAGTTTATGTGACTATGATTATTTAATTTTCTTTTGTGCGTGCTCAAGTATAGCTGTTATGTGACTACACATGAGAGAACCTGAAATTAATTTGTCTGTATGAGATCAGTGACTGTACAAATTCTTATGAAAACTAACATGCCATGACAATAGTAATTTTGATAAAATTACAGCAAGTGCTGCAATTCTCTGCCATCTGGCTGTCTCGTCATAACTACTTTGATGCGCTTTTTATTACTTATTTATTTACTTAAACTACTGGTAGAGTTTTAGAGCATGTAAATTATCACAATGGAATATTTTGAATGTTAAAGGAAGACTATCTTCATATATAAATGCCAAACTTTACACAAAATTATGAGACTCTAGCCTTTTTGATGGAAAAAATATTACTTAAGGAAAAGTTATATTTTAGAAAGTTTCTTAATTCATTTGCTATACTTTGTTACTATGTTCAGTCCTTAAAGCACAGCAACCCTCTCTATGAAGCTGCCCTTGAATTTTTTCTACAGCAATGAAGTACTATATATTTAACTATTGTTTATATCCCTAAATGTGGAATTCGGTACCTTCAACTTCATTGCATACTTCCTAAATTTCCCATCATTGTGTAGTTACTATTACATAAGTACTAACCAAACCAACATCATTTGCATCATTTATGAAATATGGAAGTCACATCAAATCTCTATCCAACATGAGTCCTTTTCGTTTTACAAACTAAGAAAAATGAAGATTCAAAATATTCAAATTAGTTCATAATAGCTACCCTTCATGTGCTTAAGGTCCAATTTTATTTAAGGACTAGAAACTTCTGTTTCCTTATAGTCAAATGATATCTCTTCATAATATTCATGTTGCCTAAATTCTCTGCCTCCAACTCTCATAAAAATTCAAGTCTCCACTGTGTGTTAAAGGCACAAAGGATGAGGCCTGATACATATCCCCAAAGAACACTTTTTCTAAGTCGGCAGATAGTTGACATACTTAATGGTAACTCTTTGTCATGCAGGAAATGATTTTAGCCCATTTTCCAGGGGGTCAGAATGTATACCATAAACCTCACAGAAATAACACTTGTTGATTACTTGGAAAGAAAGCAGATAATTTCAAGTAATATTTTTTTCTGATCAATAAGAATATAAATAGGGTTGAATAATATTAGCCAAAAAAGCAACTTAGTGACATCTTAATCGTGTGTACAATCAGGATATTTGATTATCTACACTGATGATATCCATACCATAATACATGGTAAAAACAATTTCAAAAACCTCTTTTGACTCAGTTGGCATAAAAAACTTCTTGTAGATGGTAGAAAATAGCTTAGCTGTAATTCACTTGGAACTAATTTCAGTCATTGCTAAAGCATGCTGGGTTGAAAATTAGTGTCAAATGACAAAATGGCATGACTTCTTAAAAGCATTTGAACTCAAATTTTATGTGCCCACAATGCACCTGAATTAAAGTTTTCAGGATCTGTGACTAAACCACAGTTACATATTGCAACGATATTCTCACCTCAGTCTTAAAGAAAATTGTACCTATTATTACACTCAAGATTTAGAAAGGCATATCTCATAGATATGCCCTTCTGTATAATCTAAAGCACATAATTAGTATAAAAAAACAATAATGCAATGATATATAGTCTGTAAAACAAAATATTATCTGATTTCAGATGCTATAAATAACATATAATAAAGCTATTTTTTCTAACACAGATAAAGTTGTTAAAATAACTTTTAATTCCTAAAAGCATCTCAAAATAAAACCAAAATAAACATTCTTAATACAAATGCATAAAACCATGAGATTGTTTTTGAATAATACAGACCCTCTTGTATATTATCCAAATACTTTTTTTAGTGGTCCAATTTTACCTTTGTCTAAAAGGTTTTAAGATTATCAGTAATAGAACAAATGTCTTCTCGAAATGTTCAGAGTCATATTTGTCAGTATCATTTACAGTTCTTCTCACTATGCACTCCCTATCAAATACGCTAACTAGAGTTACTGATGCCCTGTCCATCTTTTTTACTGCAATTTCACATTTGAATATAGTAATTATTTAGTAGCCTTTAAACCATTCCTGTTTTCATTATTTACTCACAGCATGATAAATCTGAGGTAGTAAAAACTCAGAGAAAACATAACAAAGACCTGGGTTTTCAAATAGACTAGCAAATTTGAAATGTGGAAACTGCAAAGTCACACTGTGATAAACCTATTTGATGTTTTTTTCCTAATGAAATAAACATACAAGATTGTGTTTTCCCCATAAAGTTGAATTTCTTATTTTGAACATGGGCTTTCTACTAAGAGGAATTTTTGTACATCATTCTGTGTGTGATTAATGATAGCTCTGTATCACCAGGGAGTTTTGTCTATTTAAATCTAAAACTGTGGCAAACTAAAGGGTTTAGTTGGAGATTAATTAACATTAAAGAGTATATTTTGTTCATAGCACTGTGCAGTAAGTCAACACGCTTTCAGTTTACTCCCTGTTTGAATTAAGCTAAGTATGACCTGCCTCCAGCCAAAAAGTATGTTATGAAGAGTAAAACAGATGCTAAGATTTTACGATGACAATGTTGAACATGAAAGAAAAGAACTGCTACCTCTAAACTTCGATCAGTGAGAGGAAATTTGGATTCTTTTCCTGTTCCATTTCCTACTCTCCTGCAGGAATAAAATTTATCAAATCTCTCCGTCTGCCAACCCAAAGATCAACACAAATGATAACCTTCTTTTCAAAACAAGTGAACTTCTAAGGCAAGAAATCAAAAACATTCTCACTACATATTTTATAATTCCTGAAATAAAAGCTCCTTATCAATCATAAGCAAAACGGGGTACCAGGAGTGGAAAAAAAATACAATCTATTTTTTAATTGCCATTACACAAAATTCAAGAAGAAAAAGAAGACTTTTCTGCTTAAAATGTTCTGTTTCTGTTAAGTGGCTCTTTAAAGAAAGGTATCTTTTAGACTGAGAAAACAATGGTGATGTAAGTAATATTTGCTATGATATCAGTGTGCAGATGCCTATGATATTTCATTTGTGGAGGGGACAAATATAGTTTTATAAGCTCTTTAATATATATTTTTTAAATTGACATTATTTTAGCAAACAAATATTTTGTTTCAGATATTCTATGTTGTTTTGGTTCTTCTCTCACTACTATAAATTTTAGAATGATATGTAATTGATGAGAAAATACTGTTCTGTATTCACATCAAATCAAGTCTCTAAGCCACATGATTCTACCTGATACTTCTTTATAACAATAAAATGCATTTTGAGCTTTGCTTTTTTCTCGAATATGAGGCTGACATTCGTGTTAACTTTCAATGAGGTTTTGTCTTATATATTTTAAAAGAATACATTATTGATACAGATATTTACTTTTCTTACTATAGAAAGGCCAAAGAAGAGTTATTTATCTTTACATATCCATAATAGGAATTTTATTTCCATGGTATCCATTACAGAGACACACTGACAAAAGGAAGCCCCCCTCCATGTAAGATGATAATTTTCATAATATACACAGTTAAACTGGTAAAATTTGTAAGATCATCAAAATTCTTCAATTTTTACTTCAATTTGAAATAAAATGATGTGAAATATAGTTATTGTGGGTATCGACTTGAAAAAAAAAAGATTTCATATACTTGGACCAATAAGTCATGTATACAAATCATTTTTTTTTCCTGGCAATTTTGAACTGCTTATCTTTCATAGGATTTCTTATGGCTATTTACATTTTCACTCAGTGAAAATCAATTACCTTCTTGCAATAAGCCTCATTTACTACCTTTGAGTATAATAGAAACACCATTAGGATGATGACATTACCCAAAAGAAGGGCACCACACAGTTGGTAGACATAAATTAAGGGCCCTTTCACATATGCATTAGAAATACTGCTGTGACTGAAATATGCATAAAGTCTGTGTCTATTAGAGCTATTAGCGTGTGGGGGTGATGATTTTGAAGGGGGAGGGAAGGATTGGTAGATTGTGATCTACTACTTTGACAAAATTATGTATTTCCTTTTTTGCCTGGTATGTGCCATTGATGCAATAAGCCTGGGCCCCCAGCTGAGTTGCATTTGGAAATGCCACTGAGCATGGTACACGCGCTTCACTTCCCTTTGCCGAAGCAAGACACTGTCAGGAATAGAGTGCATATGTGCCGCCAAGCCCACTCCTCCTCCATCACCCTGACCTCCACGGCTTTGCGGATGTCTGCCTGGGTGAAGCCACCACTCATGTGGAAAACAGCTCCTGCAGATCAATTCATAGGATTTAGAGACATTTAACTTCCATCAAGCTCACATCATCTTATTGGTATTTGAGGACTAACTTATTACTGAACATTAATGGCCATAACATAGAGAATTGTATATTTCCCAGGGCAAGAAAAAAAAAAACCACTAATCTAGAAATTCCCCCCTCTGAGACTAGGAAACAGAGGAAACCACACTTATACCCAGTTATTTTTATCTGAGTTCTTATAAGCTTAAGGAAAACAAAATTATAATACATATTGACCTCGGAGTATGAGTGAAGGTTATGTACCTTATAAAAAAGTGTTAGGATTACAAATTGTAATTTCTGATGAATTATTTTCAGATTCATTTATCATTTAGGCAGTCTTACAAATATTGGAGACATGTGGATAGTTCTTCATTAAAGAATTTTGAATCACGAACATGTAAGGATTACATGAAAGGCTTAAAAGAAGTGTAGTAGAATGGTAGGAACTAACAGGTTGTCATTTTTGAAACTCAGAAGAATTGGCAAATGCTAGAAATTAATATTTTCTTTCAAAATGATAAATATGTAAAACTTTGTTTTCATTACTGACTTCTCAAATCCATATCATTGTGCTTTTCCGAAAAAAAATCCCCTAACCTGGTAATGTTAAAATATCTGAGATCAAAGAGCTATGTATGTAACTTACTAAGAATTAACACAGTCTAATTTTAGATATTATTATACTTTTTTGGAGAGATTTATTGTAATAACTTCAATTTTTAAAGCTTTTATAATGTTTATCTTACAAGAATTTGAAAAGCAAAATACTGAAAATGTGTCCTACAGATGTTATTTTTACTACTTATTGTGGAAAAGTGGTAAAAATGTACACACTTATTGTATAAGACAAATCTCTATGTCTTATACAATAATACTATTTCTGGAATCATAGTTAAATCTATATATCATATTTTATTACTATAAAGAAAGCCAGCAATATTGTGAAAATAATTTAATCATCACATTATTAGGTTCTTATGAAATGAAAAAGAAATTTTCTCTCAAATAAGCATTGAACCTCAATCTATGCTGGAATAACAAACAATCTAGAGAGACAATGACATTTGTAGTGTAGAGCCTGTAACTCTAAAACAGCCATTATATTTTTCTTTTAAGTCATTATGGACAAATTAAATTATGTGATCTTATGCTACAAATGTACCGAGACATTTTAATATGTTTGATATTCTGTAAATAATATTTTTCTAAGTGGTATATATTTAGTTAAATCAAGTGACACAATGATACCTCTGCATATAAACTCAGTTCTGTGGAGAATAATACAATAAAGAAATAGACTTCCCTTAGTCAACCTCCTTTGTGCTTGGAGGCTGATAAGTGGGGCCAAATCCCTATGAAATTTGGCTTGCTGAGTTCATCACCTGCATTTTATATGTCCATCAAATAAATGAGAGGCCCACAAAGTTCATATAGATCAAGATCTCAGGATCTAAATGAACTCCCAAGAAATATTGCTTCAGATTAATGACTCAGAAATCAAAAGGATATAGGTCATAACAAGTGAACAATTAGTTTCCATCAACATTTTAAGTACTAATATTATGTGACATGGTATATTTTAATTTTAATTCACCAGCTCATGTCTTGTAGGAATATTGTATTTCCTAATGTTTCTGATTTAATTTCCTTTAAAAAGTTAGACTGCTATGGAAAGAAGCCATATGCATAATCGAGAAACAAAATGAACAAATAACACGTCAGATTGATATAATACAATCATGCCTCAGATACATAATTGTATTATACAATTATGATACATACATACATATGCCTCAGTAAAAAAAAAAAATTGTAGGGAAAAATACTAATGAGACAGTGTAAATGAAAATGGAAACTGAAGGTGTAATTGAGGTAACCATACAAATAACAGGCATACAAACAACAAATGGATTGGACAGATTTATCATTCCTTTGCTATAATTAGAGATGAGCTTTCTTGTTCCCATTGAAAGAAGAGAGTTGGTTTGAAGTTGTGGGGACAGTTTTCTTTTCCTTTTCTTATTTTAATTAGTTCAGCAAAGTGGAGTTGAAAGAGCTAACAGGAGGATAAAATAAATCCAAACTGCTTGCAAGTACCTCGGGACAATTACCTTACTCTTTTTAGATCCAACATAATCAACTCCTGCAATTTAGTGGATCTATTTTAAAAGATAGCGGCGCCTGCTTTTCCCCTAATCCTTGTAAAAAAAAGACACACCTGGCAGAGGTGGGAGGCCTTGGCTGTTTAAAAAAAGGATGGACAGCCCTTCCAGCAATTCCATCCCAGCTGTTTAGAGAGGGGCAGTTTCATCTGTCTCCAGGGCACAAGTGGTAAATGAGATAATTGCAGCAGCAATGATTTATGCACAAGATTGTATGTTGTCTGATAATTACAGGCACAAAAATTGCCCACGCTACAAAGCTGGCCCAAAAAAGTCTGTTTCAAGTGTAGAGAGGAAGAACTTAAACCTTGGTCAAAAGAAATTATAAACAACTTACCAGGGGAAAAAATTATGTGTGTATACACACACATACACACACACATATAATTACATATATATTTATTTATATACTCTGTTTTACATGATCTTATTTTTGTTTCTATTTTCAGGTCATTTAACATCTATCCTAATTTCTGCTGTTCTGATTTTGATTTTTCTATTTTCTTAATTCCTTCTATATTTATAACTGGAATTCTCCTGTAAGAAAGAGTTGTTTCTTCTCTCCCATTCATTTATTTATTCAGTATACATTTATAACAGTATAAATTCATGAATATTTATCTTAAGTTTTGGCTTAAGATAAATTCTGAGGAATTATATTTCCCAGTTGGGCATAGCTATTAATTATTTGAAGGTTTCAAATATCACAGTAACCTAAACTAATACGTTAAATGAAAAAATAGTTATGCACTTTATAACAACCATTTTAGTTAATAACAGACCACAGATATACAGTAGTCCCATAAGATCATAATTGAGCTGAAAAATTCTTATCACTTAAGTGATAACTTGATAAATCTGACCCTGTGTAGGCCTAGGCTAATGTGTGTGTTTATGTCTTAGTTTTTAACAAAATTTAAAAAGTAAAAATGTCTACAGGCCGGGCACAGTGGCTCATGCCTGTAATCAATCCCAGCACTGTGGGAGGCCAAGGCAGGCAGATCACCTGAGGCCAGGAGTTCAAGACCAGCTGGCCAACATAGTAAAACCCTGTCTCTAGTAGAAATATAAAAATTAGCTGGGTGTGGCAGTGCACACCTGTAATCCCAGCTACTCAGGAGGCTTAGGTAGGAGAATTGCTTGAACCCAGGAGGCGGAGGTTGCAGTGAGCCGAGATCATGCCACTGCACTCCAGTCTGGGCGACAGAGTGAGGCTCTGTCTCAAAAAAAAAAAAAAAAACCTTTAAAAATACAAAGTTTATACAATAAAGATATAAAGACAGGAAATATTTCTCAACAGCTGTACAATGTGTTTGTGTTTTAAACTGAGAATTATTATAAAAGAGTCAAAGTTAAAAAAATTTAAGTTCATAAAGTAAAAAAGTTACAGTAAGTTAAGGTTAATTTATTATTAAAGTAAGAAAAATATTTTTTATGAATTTACTGTAGCCTAAGTGAACGTTTATAAAGTTTACAGTAATGTACAATAATGTCCTAGATCTTCAAATTTGGACTCACCCAATGCAACTTTCAGCCCTACAAGCTCCATTCATGGTAAGTGACTTATACAGGTGTCTCATTTTTCTTATCTTTTATGCCATAATTTTACTGTGCCTTTTCTATGTTTGAGCATGTGTAGATACACAAATACTTTTTTACAATTGCCTACAGGATTCAGTATATTAACATGCTGTATAGGTTTGTAGCCTAAGAGCAATAGGCTATACTGTATAGCCTAGGTGTGTAGTAGGCTATACCATTGAGGTTTGTGTAAGTACACTCTACAATGTTTGCACAATGTCAGAATTGCCTAAGGATACATTTCACAGAATATATGGGGTCATTTAGGGACCCATGACTGTAGAAAGTTATCTTGTCATGAAATACATTCTGATTGGCATTTTTGTTAATGACTACTTTGTGCTACAAAAAGTCACCTTGTCTCACTTTCATATATCCATTCTGTATACATTTTATATACACATTAACTGACTCAGCACACCTTGGTAGTGTTTGGTGAATGGAGTGATAAGAATAATACATTTATGGAGGATGTTTTAGGTCCAGGCAAAAGTGCCCAGAAAAGTTCTATACAATTGCAAGGTGAGAGCTGTTCAGCAGATTCTAGTTTTTGTGATTGCTTTGTTTCAGAATTATATCTAAGTAATCTCAGAATTTTAAAAGAATTCCTTTTATTTTGAACTCTTTATTTGGAGATAATTTTAGACTTACAGAAGACCTGTGAAAATAGTACAGAGTTCCCATATATCCTTCACCCAGTTTCTCTATTAACATCTTGCATTACCATTGCATGATTATCAATACTAAGAAATTAACATTGGTGTGACAGTATTAGCTAAACTACAGGCTATGTATTTGTATTTCATTAGGTTTTTCCACTAATGTCCTTTTTCTTTTCCAGGATCCAATCCAGGATACCACACTGCATTTAGTTATCACGTCTCCTTAGTCTCCTCTGACCTGTGATAATTTGTCAGTAATTTCCCTTGTCTTTCATGACGTTTATGCTTTTGAAGAAAACTAATCAGTAACATATCCCTTACTTTTGACTTGTCTAATGTTTTCTCATAATTAAACTGAGATTACAGATTTAGGGGAAGAGTACCACAGAGCTGTGTGTGCCCTTCTCATCCCATCGTCTCAGAAGGCACATGCTGAAATGTTTTATCACCAGTGATGTTACCTTTGATCACTTGCTCTCTGCCATGTTTCTCCACTGTAAAATAACTATATTTCCTTAGTAATTAATAAATACTTGGACAACTTATATGAAAATGTCTTGCTTTTCCTTAAACTTTCACTAATCTTAGCCTGCACTGATGGATCTTGCTTACAGCAATTATTGTTATACTGTTCCGATGTTGATTTTTCTATTTTCTTAATTCCTTCTACATTTATAACTGGAATTCTCCTGTAAGAAAGAGTTGTTCCTTCTCTCCTATTCATTTATTTATTCAGGATGCGTTTATAAGAGTATAAATTCATAAATATTTATCTTAAGTTGTGGCTTATATTTATTGTTTTGCTCAAATCGTTCCAGCTTTGGCCACTGAGAGATTTTTTCAGATTGGCTCCTGTGCCCCTTCAACATGCCCCCATTTTATTTGTAAAGCAATTCCTAGCTTTTTGGGACCAATCTGCTCTATTTTAAGTAATCGCTGTGAAGTCGCTCTACTCTATGGAAACTGAATATTTCATCTGACAAACTACATATTCCTTCAAGACTGATCTTGTATCTTTCCACACCTAGCAAAGTAGCTGGCAAGAGATAGGCATTTGTTGACTGTGCTTCAACTGAAAGCTTATTTATTCTCCTTATTTATTCTGAACTTGAGAAAGGCAAAAACTGTTCACCATATTCTGTGCATGTTCTTAAATTTATGTTCGCTGCTTAATCACTGCTCATTTTTCTCATTTCTTTTGGAATAGTCCTAGTTCTCCTGAACATTACTTAGAGATAATCATCATCAGTATCATTTTGAAAAAGTCATCACTAAGCCCTGACCCACCTATGTCTCTGTGACAGACACTATAAAAAGCACATTAATAGCAGTGCCTTCTCTACCTGTCTCCTGCTCTAAACCCCAAAAAAATTCAAAAATGTAAACCACAAACACAACATACAGGCTTTATGAATATTTAGTAAAACAGGATTATAAAATAAAATCAATGTGCACTTGTCCCTTGGTATTCATGGTGGATTGGTTCCTGGACTCCCTTTGTATACCAAAATCAAGTCCCTTATATATTTTATATACAAAATAGTCCTAACTACATTTTGAATCAGAGGTTGGTTAAACCCACTGATGCAGAACCTGCAGATACATAGAGTCAACTGTAATGATCTTAAAATTAATAGTTACAGGGATTTACTTTTTTTTCTTTTAGCAGAACTCTGTTCAAATAGATATTTATGGTATACTTATTATATGATAAGCATTGATAAACTATTACATGATAAACTAACCTATCATAAGAGTTAGGTATTACTATTATGACTATTATGCAGATATGGAAAACTGAGAGATAGAGAGGTAAGTAACATGCCCAAGGTCATATAACTCCTAAGTCATCAGCCAGTATTTAAACTGAAGCAGCCTGATTATAGCACCTACATGTTTAACCATTCTACCACACTGCCTTTGCAGGAGCTCATCACTTAAAGCAGAGCTACCCTCACTGAAGTAGAGAGTGGGAATGCTTACTTCATCAGTATCATTTTAAATCTTCCCTCAGCCAGTGTTGCAGTAGGATTACTTGATAGGTCTATAATTGTGCACATATGGCGCCATATTGAAAAGGCATAAAAGCCAATTGGTTTTCTAAACTTGGTTTTTCCCAGAGACTCCTGAAATTCTCCATCACTATGATGTCCCAGAACTTACCTTGCCAGATGTGCCCATTAGCAGCTTAACATTTGTTTGTTTTTGCTAGTGATTACCAGGCTCTACCTAATGAAGAAAAATTGGCCTGCCTCTAAATATTTCTTTCTTTTTTTTTTTTTTTTTTGAGAAGGAGTCTCGCTCTGTCACCCAGGCTGGAGTGCAGTGGCGCGATCTCGGCTCACTGCAAGCTCCGCCTCCCGGGATACGCCATTCTCCTGCCTCAGCCTCCCCAGTAGCTGGGACTACAGGTGCCCGCCACCTAATTTTTTGTATTTTTACAAAATACAAAATTAGCCCGGATAATTTTTCGTATTTTTTAGTAGAGACGGGGTTTCACCGTGTTAGCCAGGATGGTCTCGATCTCCTGACCTCGTGATCCACCCGCCTCGGCCTCCCAAAGTGCTGGGATTACAGGCGTGAGCCACTGCGCCTGGCCTAAATATTTATTTCTCTTATCAAGATTATCTTTAATTCTAACTTTCATTTTATCTCAGCTAACCATTTCCCACAATTCATCATGGTTTTAAAGGAGATTCAAGCAAGCATAGTCTTTTATTTAGTGTTTTTTAGAAAAACAGAGAGCAGAAGTAGAAATTTGGTTCAGTTAATGAATTTAAGTCTTATTGTTCAATTCCCACCTATGAGTGAGAACATGCGGTGTTTGGTTTTTTGTCCTTGCAATAGTTTGCTGAGAATGATGTTTTCCAGCTTCACAGGAAGGGGAACATCACGCACTGGGGCCTGTTGTTGGGGGAGGGGGGAGGGATAGCATTAGGAGATATTCCTAATGTAAATGACGATTTAATGGGTGCAACACCAACATGGCACATGCATACATATGTAACAAACCTGCACGTTGTACACATGTACCCTAGAACTTAAAGTATTATATATATATATATACACACACACACATAAAAACTTGAAAAAAATGAATTTAAGTGCACATATCAGAACGAAGCATTTGGATACCTGGAGAGTATTTGTGAATTTTTTTCACTCTTTTGAGCACCATACTTAATTTTATTTTCTTGATTGCTTACTGTATTTGTTAAACCAACTGAAAAATATGTCTGATTCCTTGGCGTAACTTCAACTTTTTGTGCATACTTTCATGTTTAGTAATTTCTGCCAAATCTTTGAAAAACAGAACAAGACTTGAGGAGACTCTGGGATTAAAATAATTTGTGCTATGGATGTTATGATGATGAAGTCCTGATTTTCTGGGTCAACTGACAAATAAAATACATTAGAGGTCAATTCTAGATTTCATAACAGATTTTTGGAAGAGGAAAGTATCCAAAAATTATTTTGTTTGACCTGTTTCACTTTCTGGCCTCTCAGCAGGCTCTCTACCATTTGTGTCAATGTGTCTTTGTGGTTAATAGTGCTCCTGGCATGGAGCATGGTTGAAGACCCAAATAGTGAATTTAACTCAAATTCTATCCTCTAACAACAGGACAGTTCTCCTGGGGAACAATTCTATTGTTGGAAGTGCTTTCCTTTGGATGTACCTAAGAAAAGATATCTTTTGATGAAAAAAAAAAGGGAGGGAGAAGAGAGAGATAAAGAAAGTTTAGAAGGCAAGTTTAGAAGGTAAAAGTGAAAAAAAGGGACTTACAAAAGAAATGTTTTTCATATGTCATAAGGTCAAATTTTTTCATAAGTTTTAATTTCATCATTTGATGAAGTAACTTTCAAATGTTGATATCTAATCAAGTGTTGATATCTAATATAGTTGTTTGCTGTGGATAGTTATGTATTAATATAAATATGATAAAAATTATTTCCAAAATTATTATTTTACCCTCATTAAACCACCACTCTATGACAGGTAATGTATGCTGTAGGGTTACAAGCTATGATCCTTAGTCTACTAAACCTTACACATTAGAGGTTTTTGTTTTGTTTTAAGTTCAGGATTTGAAATGAAAAACAGTCAAAGGAAAATGCAACAAAAAGAATTTTAAGGGGACATATACAAAGAATTATTTAAATGCAATAGGCAATGTTACCAAAATGTAATGCTTTAAAATGTAATATGCACAATGATATTTAAGAGGTCATGCTCTAAGTTTCAACTGTTTCAGATCCTGATTGTTCCACTTACTAGCTCTTTGACCTTGAACAACCTTCACTACATTCTCAGTCACTAATTTGTAAATTATGGATAATATTAATACCTAAATTCATATGGTAATAAGTGCAAAATGAAGTCCTCGCCAACAACATGGTAGGCACTTGGTACATTTCAGTATTATTTTTAAAGAGACAAAGGGAAAGGAGTCAGAAATTATAGATTTACAGCCTTTAAAAATTAAGATAAAGTTCCTATGGAACAACAAAAAACATCAGAAAGGTTCAAGAATGATATGATATTCACAAGGATAATGGGTATTATGCCATAAAATTTTTACAGAAGCTGACTGAAAATTACTCTTTTAAAAGAAATAACCAGGAAATCAGTGTTAATAAGAAGCACTTAAAACAGTACCTGGCTCGTGATAGTTGTTTCATAAATATTGGTTAAACTAATAAAATAAAAGGCGATTTAGTTCTATCATTCCTGAGAATAAGGAATAAATTGATGTGAATGTTTATTTTTATTGAGGTGGCTACAATCATTAAAACCTAACCCCAAAGCATGAAGACTAACAATAAACTCTTAAAAAGAAAAATTTAACATTATCAGGTATCCAAAAAAGATGGGTCAAGCCATAGTGGTTTGAGTTTCAGAAAGGCATTGAAAATAATATTGGCTACTGGAAGACAGAAATATGGTTATGCAAAAATGGTCAAAACTAAAAAAAAATTAAAATACAGGACTGTAAAAATAGACACAACAGAGCCTATGTCTTGAGAAAAAAAAGCAACGGAATATGTTATAAATACTAAGTGTCTTACAAAAATGAAAGTCATTTAACTCCTCCAGTCATCCCCCTGGCAATGCTGAATTACATATATTTGTGTTTTTGCACAATATTTGCACAATGGATCTCAGACTTTCCTATGCACTATCTGGAGGATGCATACAGATTGTTGCCCCCAACTCCCATCCTACTTGGGTGGGACCTGATAACTCATTTCTAGCAAGTTGCCAGGAGATGCGCATGCTGCTGGTGTGGGAACCGCTGTTATAGTTAAAAGAAGACTAGATTTAGCTTCTGGATCCCAAGATTGAAACCACAATTCTTCCAGTTACTGGTTGACACTAAAGCTAGTAATTTCAAACATGATTCTAACTGATAGCCATAAAAGGTTCAAATATTTTCTACTGAAAAACAAAAGGCGTTTGCACCAATAAATTGCTATTATTTGCATCAATAATTAAGGGTTTAACCCTTTAGGGCCTAGATCTGAGAAATGTTGGTGCTAAAATACAAGGTAATCTTATAGTTGACTTTATCAGTTAGCCACACTTCAGAAGGAAAAAAAATAAAAACAATAAACAAATAATAAAATGTCTTAAACCCTGTCTTATTCCAGAGGTCAGACATGATACCAGGAAACAGCTGTGAGCTAGAAAAGCTGGGTCAATAGCATCAATAAGTTGCAACTCCTCTGGGGTTGATGTGGTGAAGCACCAAGGCATCATATGTATTCATCTGCATATGGAGAAAATATCTCAAATAAGTTTTGCTCAAAGTATTTATAGCATGCTCATCCAGAAGCATTATCACATGTTAGTACTACATTTAAAGTACAGCAATTATATATTAAGGGTATTTATGCTTATAATGTTAGTTTTAATCATTAATTCATTCAACAATACTTCTTGAGTTTGTGGTGTCTGTGTTGTGCACTGTTCCATGCTCTTAGGGACAGGAGTGAAAGATCTGGGACAGTCCCTGTCCTCATTCAGGGAGGGCATTAACTTTTAAATGCTTGTATTCTCAAAAGAAAGGCAGACAATAAGATGTAACAAATGAGTAAACCAGACAATTTTATATAGCACTAAGTCCAGGAAGGAAATAAAAGAAAGTGATGGGGTTTGGCTGGGGACCACTTCAAATAACTGTTCTGCTGAGCACTAGGTCCCAAGCACTATTTCTAAGTACTTAGTCATTTATCAAGCAACTTACGTTACACTGACTTTGTGCTGGTACTATTCCAAATGCCTTATAAACATTGATTTACTTAATCACATCACAGCCCAATAAGGCTGGAATTATTATTCAAAATATTCAGATGAAAAAGTGGAGACAGAAAGATTAAGTAAATAGGCCAAGGTCATACAGCTAGTAAGAATTCGGAACCAGGGATTTTGTCTCCCAAGTCTGTGCTCCTAATTCTTATATTTACTATACTGGCACTTGATTTTCATATATTATCTCACTTAACCATCACAACTATCAACTGAGGAATTATACCTCATATGGCAGAAGGGGCAACTGAAACACAAGAGAAAAAGAGATTTTGTCAAGGGTAGAATTTGTACCCTCATAGTCTGATTCCAGTCTCTTCTTGACCATTTCATCTTACTGCCTCTAGATGACCTTTATGGAGAAATCATTATGGTCTAAAAGATAAAAGAAGTAAAAACACTAAAGCAAAATGACTTTATGTTTATATGTCATATAAAATATTAGAACAAAGAACTAAGTCTTATTTTAAGATTTTATCACCGAACACCATGTAAAGTTAGTGATTTTATGGGAAGCCCCACAAACACAAGCTGCATTCCAGTAAAATCCAATATGAAGCATCAGCAACTACCTTCTTGTCTTTCTTTCCCTGCTTATTCACTGTCTTTTCCTTTAACAATAAAATTCTCCAACAATGCAGGATAAAATAGGCAATATTGTAATATGAAGCATGGGGGTTGGTGAAGTATTAGAATGAGATTCAATATTAGGATTCTTGGCTAACTATCTGAGTGGCCATAGACAAATTATTTAATTTCTTTGGGCCTGCAATTTGAGGAGAGAGGATTGTATCAATAATTCAAAACTTGTTTATGTAACGGAACACACAGAATGTAGTAAAATATTAACCTATTAATTTGTAATAACCACATATCCGATTTTTTGCTAGACCAGATACCACCTTACCATCTTATACTAAGTTCTAGAATAAACAAATGCCAGCAAGTCCCAAAGTCATTTTTAAAATGTCTTTGTGAAAAAAATAAGGAAGATCTATACAATTATTTCTGTGAATGGGTCCAAGTCTTCCCTGTCTTCATTTTTAGTAGCAGGATACTGAGGTTCCCTAAAGCATAGTTTGAATACCAATCAAATAGCTATCCAAGGTTTGTTGTTGTTTTTTTTTTCCAGCCCACTATGACCGCTTCACACTAGTGAGCAGGTGAGTTGAAATATCTGTATACAACCCATAGATATCAAACATATCTACAAAAATATCTTTTGAATAGGAAAGACACGGTTGTGGACGTTGCTTCTTGTGCGGCTCAGTATCCTTCACCATCCTCTGGCAACCTGACCTTAGTTTCTGTGTGAGAACCAGCAACCTCTTAGTCTCAGTCCATGTGATTCCAGTGAAGCTGGATCCACCCCTAAGTCTAGTGTTGGTGCACATGACCTGGATCTAAGGCAACTGGCACATCATAAAGAACCCTTCCCAAAAGGGCTTTGTTTAAACAGTCATACATCATTTAACAAATAAGTTCAGGGAAATGCTTCTAGGCGACTTTGTAATTGTGAGAACATCATAGAGCGTACTCCACAAATCTGAGATGGTATCGCCTACTATACATCTAGGCTATATGGTATAGCCTATTTCTCCTAGGCTACTAACCTGTATAGCATGTGACTGTACTGAATACTGCAGGAAACCGTAGCACAATGGCAAGTATTTGTGTATCTAAACATAGTTAAGGTACAGGAAAATATGAGGCCACTGTTGTCTATGCAGTCTGTCACTGACCAAAATTTCCTTATGCTGTGTAATTGAGAGACTTTTGCTGATACATACTTGTATGTAATTCAGAGACCAGTAATTCATGAGACTTTTGCTGGTACATACTTCTGGTAGGTTCGTATGTATCTGAAATCTGAGAAAGTTTAAGAGACAAAGCTGCTGACATCATGTTCCTTCTTCAAGCCTCCTGAAGGCAGAACTGAGATGGAGAAAAATAGAAAAGTTGGAGAAGTATCAGTTGAAAAATGTTGGAAAAGCCATTTTCCATGTAGGAAAATTTTTTTCCCTAATGGATTTTTTTTTTCAGGTTACATGCTTAAATCAGTTTGCACCAGGAATTTTATTACCTGTAACTAAGAGAACAAACCAACATAAACAGACATTGGTTATGTTGTGTTCTCGAATTCCTGATGGTCAACAAAATGGAAAGACCTATTACAGTTATTGTCATGGCACCACATGCGATTTTTACAATTTTTCCTCCCTTCTGTCACCTCCCAAACCCTAAAGTAGGGTATGTGATATTTAATTATTGTGGCTATTAGGCCTAAACTATGAGGCTGCTGAGCCGGTAATTTTGATTTGTTTTGTGTGTGTGTGTGTTTCTTTTTGTTTTCTTTTTTTTTTTTGTACCTTATAAGTGCTATATTTTATGTTTTCCTTTTTTGCGCTAGTGTTCACCATGATAGGGATTCTACAGTTAGAAGATAAATCAAGAAATAATCTAAACCAGACCTTTACCAGATTGCAGGAGTGTGGTAGATAGAATTTTACAAATCGCCCTCAAAGATGTCTTTCCCTAATTTCTGGAATCTGTGAATACGAGATATCACTCCCATAATTATATTATGCTATATGGCACAGCGGACCTCAAGACAGGGTGATTACCTGGGCAAGCATAACCTACTTACATGAGTCCGTTTAAACACAGCGAGTTTTCACCAGTTGGCGACAGAAGGAAAAGTCACAGAGATTTAAAGTACAACAGGGGCCGGGCACGGTGGCTCACGCCTGTAATCCCAGCACTTTGGGAGGCCAAGGCTGGCGGATCACAAAGTCAGGAGATGGAGACCATCCTGGCTAACGTGGTGAAACCCTGTCTCTGCTAAAAATACAAAAAATTAGCCGGGCGTGGTGGTGAGAACCTGTAGTCCCAGCTGCTCAGGAGGCTGAGGCAGGAGAATGGGCATGAACCCGGGAGGCGGAGCTTGCAGTGAGCCGAGATCGCGCCACTGTACTCCAGCCTGGGCGACAGAGCGATACTCCATCTCAAAAAAAAAAAAAAAAAAAAAGCACAGCGAGGATTTGACACACCACTGCTAGCTCTGAAGATGGAAGGGGCTGTGTGCCAAGGAACATGGGTACCCTCTAGGAACTGAGAGTGGCCCTGAGTGACAGCCAGCCAAAAAAAAGGGGACATCTGTCTTATAACTACGAACAATTGAATTTGACCAACACACTGGAATGATTTGGAAGCTGAGTCTTCCCCAGAGCATCCAGATAACAGTCCAGCCTAGCTAACACTTCAATTTCAGCCTTAAGAAGCCCTAAGTAGAGAATCCAGACAAGTTCATTTGGACTTGGTGAAAACTCGCTGTGTTTAAATGGACTGTGAGATAATAAATGGCCATTGTTTTAAACTGCTATGTTTGTGGTACCTTGTTACCCAGCAATGATAGCTAATACAGGCAGTTATTGCTACAATACCATGTGGTGCTGATGTTTCAGGACAAATAATAAACTAATTATTTGGGCTTTCATGACACAGTGAGAGAGATGTTATTATACTTTTTGTTCAACCTTGGAATAATGAAATCTATGGTATACCAGTAAACCACAATGAGTATTTTACAAGACGTATAGGCATAATAATATAAAATCTTATGTCTTATATATACTTTATATATCTATTTGTAGTCTCATAAATATACTTATATGTATATGTGTGTAGACTAAAAAGGAGCATTCCAATCTCACCAACACACACATATGCACACACCTTTTCCTACATGTACTTCTTACAAATAAAACAGGAAAAAGACTCTCAAATTTAGGAATTTAATTTTTACTCTTCCTACTCAGAGAAATTTCTGCTTGTGCGACCCACTTCTTACACGTGACGGAGGGCAAAATCCTTCCCTCTCCCTCAAGTTTACTGAATTTGACCCCATTTTTTCTTTTCTTTTTCCTTTTTTTTTTTTAACTCGCCTTAGACTTACTTATTTTGTTACTCTTACAGAGAAACAGACTTCCAATGTAGGCTTCTAAATAGCTTAGCAGAAAATTCCCTATTAGAAGTATGCTAAATACCTCCACCTGCTGTTAGAACCAGGAATTCGTTTTGTAGCTACGTTGTAACTTGCTTTTTAAAAAACATTAACACAATTGCTGTAAGTTTAGAGAAACACTTGCTCTCTAGTTCTAATGGTACCATTCTTTCAGAGGTTCAAGATAACTGTTCCTAGTTTTTTTAACAAACTTTTCTTCTCAGGAGTATCGAACCCGCCTAGATAAGCTCATAAGTGCAGTCAAGTAATTTCCTTTCCACAGAGCTCTCCAACTGCATGGAGTCTCTGTTCTCAGTGGTGGATATGTCCAATTGGGAGATGTTTTTCTTTTTTTAAACTTTTTATTCTGAAGTAATTATAGATTCATAGGCAGTTACACAGAGCAGTCCCAAACCCATTTTCCAAGCTTCTCCAGTGGTAATATCTTACACAAATACGGTACAATGTTAAGAAATTCACACTGGTACAATCCATAGCGCTTATTTAGATGTCACTAGTTATGCATGCACTCATGTGTGTGTGTTTGCATGTGTGTGTAGCTCTACTCAATTCCATCACATATGTAACACATCACAATCAAGACACTAGACTGTTCAATCACAAGACTCCCTTTATTCATATCCACGTTGCTTGCCCCTGGAAACCACTAACCTGTTCTCCATCTCTATAATTATGTTATTTCATGAATGTTACATAAATGGAATCATAAAGTGTGTTTGCTTTTGAAATTGGCTTTTTCCATTCAGCAGAATTTCACTGTGGTTCATACAAGTTGTTGTGTGTCTCAAGAGTTTATTCCTTCTTAATGTTGAATAGTATTCATGTTTAACCATTCATAGGAAAAGCCTTTCTGCTTGTAAATATGGAGTGCTACCCAATGTCCTCAGTCATATTCAGAGAATAGCTGCATCTTAGTAGCCATATATGATGTGTACCAAATAAACACTAAGGTATCTTTTTCTCAACTTATTTTGAAACACTGAAAATTTTTTATACTGTCAAATTTCCAGTGGTAGACATGGGTTCAATTATGCCAAAGTTAAATTCATTGAAAAAGAAAATTAAAAACTTTCAAAATTAAGAGTCCTGTTAATCTCAAAGTGTTCACTGGCCTCAGTAAGAAAAAAAAAAAGCCATATGTGCAATTAAGGGTAGAAAAAGAGAAAAAAAAATTCTGGTTGCTTCCAGGGAACTTATACCAGTTAGAAAATTATGACCTACCTCGTGATGAGAGCTTTCTGCTTGATATATGAGCTCACTTAAATAGAAATTAAAACAAATCCTAGGTTTCTGTTAAGATATGACACATATAAAAACATCCATTCTCAAACTGGCAGAACTGGACGGCAGTTTTCACAATAAAAACTTTACACGTTTATGCATTATTGTTAGGGGAGCCATCATTTTATAAATAAGAAATCAGACTCTTTCACCTTCATGAAATGTCCTTCTCTTTCCTTTCAAACAAAACAAATCCCAACTATCCTTCTTCTGGTTCCAGACCCTTCTCTTCCACAATGTCTTCCAAACACACAGCCATCCATTCTTTCCCACACTCTTGGCATTTGTGAGGTGGCGTATCCTCATGTACTGCTGTGTGGAAATTCCATTTGAGTCTTATTATTTAACTTCTACCCTGTGTTCCAAGTTTCTATCTGTTGTTCATTGTCATCTTTTTTATAAAAGCAAAAAAAAATTGGAAACCTCTTAAAGTCCTATAACATTACATTATACAAATTAAGGTTCACACTGAAGGATGATAATGTAGTCATATATTTAATGTAAGGAAAACATGTTCACAGAAAATCTTAATGTCTGTTATTGTGTTGTCATTGTTGAACAGAAAAAAAAATCAGCATGTCCTCAGTTTTGTAAATGTAACTACAACAGCCAGATATTTATAAAAAGGGAGAGAGAAAAAATAATAATCAAGATTGTATATTTTTTTCTGTTCATTAGTTTTTTAAGGGTTAGTGATAAACATGCATAAAGAGAAACAATAAAAGTCATTAAAGTTTTTAACCTTATCTCTTCAACTACATTTCAACTTTCTCAAGAGTAGACTATCACTTTTATTTATATCCTCCAACTTGGCAATAGAGGTGATTTAATATACTCAATTTCTTTTATTCACAGAGGCTAAAAACACATTTTTATAATGTGACTATAGTTTGTCACTACTAAGTTATTTCATTGTGTATATTCATATTTAGATTGCAAAATTCCTTGAGGATGGAGGGATTTTTTTTAACTTAAAGACCACTGTAATACTATATAGTACAATTCTCTACATCCTATGATAACTGAAAAATTACTTTTTGAATAACATATAAAATTTAGCAGTGCACAACTTATTTAAAGGCAGGAATTCAGATTCTTTAAAGAGATTTCAGATTCTTTAAAGACAGGAATTTGTTGCATTTTATAATATTTTGCACTTTATACTAATACTAACAATAGCACATTATTATTGTCATACAAGCTGCCATTTACCGAACATTTACTATACCAAGAACTGGGCTCAACTTTAATATTCATAGTCTCATTTAAACGTCACAATAATCACTATCCCTCTTTTGTATTTGAGGAAATCAAGTAATATTAAATATCTTACCCCAAATCATACAGTGAGTACTTAGGAGAGCTAGGACTGGAAGCCACACTAATCTGACTGTAGTTCAGAGATGTCAGGAAGTTATGCCATCTCTCCTTATAAGTGCTCAATGAGCATTTATCAAATGAATGGATGAATACAAAAATGAGAAATTAATGCATATTAGCTATTACTATGAATTGACTTTCAAATATTAGTAAATCATAGAATAAGAGAGAACACAATGAAAAAAGTTTAGCAATGGGAGTTAAAGATTTAAATCCTGATACGAAATTCACCAAATTAAAATCTAGAAAATGCATCCTACATTGTTTCTGGGCATCTGAATATTGGCACATTGCTCTGTCTGCTCAGTCGAACCCCTTGCCTCTAATTCACAGAAAGCCCCAATTAGAGACTTCTGGTCAAAAAAGAATGGACTCATGACAAACATACAGATAACAAGTCAGTTAAAAGGACTGTCGGCTGGGCGCGGTGGCTCATGCCTGTAATCCCAGCACTTGGAGAGGCCAAGGTGGGTAGATCACGAGGTCAGGAGATCGAGACCATCCTGGCTAACATGGTGAAACTCTGTCTCTACTAAAAATATAAAAAAAAAATTAGCCAGACGTGGTGGCAGGCGCCTGTAGTCCCAGGTACTCGGGAGGCTGAGGCAGGAGAACGGCGTGAACCCGGGAGGCGGGGCTTGCAGTCCGCTGAGATTGCGCCACTGCACTCCAGCCTGGGCGAAAGAGCAAGACTCCGTCTCAAAAAAAAAAGGACTGTCAATTAGTTGTATTAAAATAGATACACTGATGGGCAATTAAAATGGCTACATATACTATAACAATTATTCTTAACTTATTTGAAATCAAACTTCTTTATTGTTTAGAAATATTTAAAGAGGTCATTCATCATAAGAGACTGATATTTGGTATTTCTGTTTTAAAAATGTAAAAGTAATTCTGAGACACGGCCTATGTCATAGTTTGGTTAATTCTGTATTCCAGTTTTAAAACAATAAAAAATAAAAATGGATGACTTTTGTTTGTGCAAAGAAAATAAAATGCTGTCAGAAAGTACAAATTCAGGTCTCTTATTTGATCAGGTTAGTTATATAAGCTTTATAAAATAGAAAGGAATAAAGACGGTAACTTGACAGGCCATGAAGTCAAACAAACCTCATGATCAATAAATTTGCCCAACCCAAGTCAGATTTTCACTAGTGATGGCACGGAAAGATTTTGTAACACTATGAACTCATGAATATCATGAGCTTTTTGTATACATTTTTATTTTCAAGTGTCCAACAAAGTTTCTGGCAGAAAGAAGGTACTTAATGAATATTCAGAGACTGAACAAATACATTCTAGACAAGAATTAAAGATGTTTGGGGGATTCAGGGGATCATGGTGGACGGGAGGCAAGACTAGATTGCAGCTCTGGACAGAGCAGCATGAGGAGGTTAGCATTGTGAATTTTAGCTCTAGATCGACTGCATGAATAAACCAGCAATCCCAAGAGGACCCGCAGACCCTCTGAAGGAAGTGGACTGCTCCTGCAGGGCCCAAGAGACACCCCAAATACTGTGAGTGCCTCAACTGCGAAAGTGGGAAAGGGAGACCCTCCTCTCCCAAACACACACCTTCAGTGGAGAAGCTGAAGGTCTGTTTGCGGGAGAAGTTTCCAACTTTACTTGGAGCTGAGTCAAGTTAGAGAGCCGAGTGAAATACAGGGGTACAGGAAGCAGCAGAAAGGCCCTGGGAGCTTGCTGGCTCCCCAAGCAGCCATTCCTGCCTGGCACCACAGGGATCCATTGCGAGGGTGGCCAGAGGAGCAAGGAGTAAAACTCCACAGGGAGAAGGAAATCTCTAGCTGAACTTCGTAAAAATTTGAACAGGGCAAGAAGCCTCCTGGCCAGAACTCCAGGGAGGGTGAGAATCTGGCTTGCAGACTTCACAGGTAGGGGAAGAACTAAAGCCCTTTTCTGTCACAGCTGGGAGGCAGATAGCCTCAGGCAAATTTTCAAGTCCATCTCGCCCTCATCTGCAAACGGACTCAGGGCTGTTGGGGGTGGGCACAGTGGGAGTGGGATGGGCCCTTCAGTTTGCATGGGAGCGGGGTGAGGCCTATGACTGCCCGCTTTCCTCCACTTCCCTGACAACCTGCATGACTCAGCAGAGTCAGCCATAATCCTCCTAGGCACACAACTCCAGTTACCTGGGAATCTCACCTTCATCCCCTACAGCAGCTGCAGCAAGACCTGCCCAAGGACAGTCTGAGCTCAGACACGCCTACCCCTGCCCCCACCTGATGGTCCTTCCCTATCAACCCTGATAGTGGAAGACAAAGGGCATTTAATCTTGGAAGTTCTAGGGTCCCACCCATCGCCAGTCGCTCTCCACATTACTACAGCTGATGCTTCCTGGAAAGCACCGTGTCCTGGCAGGAGGCCAACCAGCACAAAAATAGAGCATTAAATCACCAAAGCTAAGAACCCTCATGGAGTCCACTGCACCTGCTGCCACCTCCACCAGAACAGCCACTGGTATCCTCGGCTGAGAGACCCATAGATGATTCATATCACAGAACTCTGTGCAGACAACCCCTAGTACCAGCCTGGAGCCGGGAAGACTCACTGCTTCACTAGACCCAGAAGAGAGACAACAATAACTGCAGTTCAACTCACAGGAAGCTACATCTATAGGAAAAGGGGGAGAGTCTACATCAAAGAATCTGAACAACAGCCTTCAGCCCTAGACCTTCCCTCTGACAGAGCCTATGCAAATGAGAAGGAACCAGAAAACCAACTCTGATAATATGACAAAACAAGGCTCTTCAACACCCCCAAAAAACCACACTAGTTCACCAGCAATGGATCCAAAACAGGAAGAAATCCCTGATTTACATGAAAAAGAATTCAGAGGCTAGTTGTTAAGCTAATCAGGGAGGGACCAGAGAAAGGCAAAGCCCAATCCAAGGAAATCCAAAAAATGATACACGAAGTGAAGGGAGAAATATTCATGGAAATAGATAGCTTAAAAAAAATCAAATTCAGGAAAATTTGGACACAGTTTTAGAAATGTGAAATGCTCTGGAAAGTCTCAGCAATAGAACTGAACAAGTAGAAGAAAGAAATTCAGAGCTCAAAGACAAGGTCTTCAAATTAACAATCCAACAAAGACAAAGAAAAAACAATAAGAAAATATGAACAAAGCCTCCAAGAAGTCTGGGATTATGTTAAACAACCAAATCTAAGAATAATTGGTGTACCTGAGGAAGAAGAGAATTACAAAATCCTGGAAAACATATTTGGGGGAATAATCAAGGAAAACTTCCCCAGCCTTGTGAGAGACCTAGACAGCTAAATACAAGAAGCACAAAGAACACCTGGGAAATTCACAGCAAAAAGATCTTCGCCCAGGCACATTGTCATCAGGTTATCCAAAGTTAAGATGAAGGAAAGAATCTTAAGAGCTGTGAGGCAGAAGCACCAGGTAACCTATAAAGGAAAACCTATCAAATTAACAGGAGATTTCTCAGCAGAAACCCTACAAACTAGAAGGGATTGGGGACCTATCTTCAGCCTCCTCAAACAAAACAGTTATTAGCCAAGAATTCTGTATCCAGCAAAACTAAGCATCATATATGGAGAAAAGATATAGTCGTTTTCAGACAAACAAATGGTGAGAGAATTCGCCATTACCAACCACCACTAAAAGAACTGCTAAAAGGAGCTCTAAATCTTGAAACAAATCCTAGAAACACATAAAAACAGAACATCTTTAAAGCATAAATCACACAGGACCTATGAAGCAAAAATACAAGTTAAAAAGCAAAAACAAAAAACAAACAAAAAAACAAATTACACAGGCAACAATGAGCAAGATGAAAGCAATGGTACATCACATTTCAATACTAACATTGAATGTAAATGGCTGAAATGCTCCACTTAAAACATACAGAACCACAAAATGGATAAGAACTCACCACCCTACTATCTGCTGCCTTCAAGAGACTCATCAACCACATAAGAACTCACATAAACATAAAGTAAAGGGGTGGAAAAAGGCATTTCATACAAATGAACACCAAAAGTGAGAAGGGGTAGCTATTCTTGTATCAGACAAAATAAACTTTAAAGCAACAGCGGTTAAAAGAGACAAAGAGAGACATTATATAATGGTAAAAGGCCTTCTCCAACAGGAAAATATCACAATCCTCAACATATATGCACCTAACACTGGAGCTCCCAAATTTATAGAACAATTAGTAAGAGTCCTAAGAAATGAGATAGACCACAACACAATAATAGTGGGGGGCTTCAATACTCCACTGACAGCTCTAGACAGGTTTTCAAGACAGAAAGTCAACAAAGAAACATTGGATTTAAACTATATCTTGGAACAAATAGACTTAACAGATATATACAGAACATTTCATCCAACAACCGTGGAATACACATTCCATTCAACAGTGCATGGAACTTTCACCAGGATAGACCATATGATAGGCCATAAAACGAGCCTCAATAAATTTAAGAAAACTGAAATTACATCAAACACTCTCGAAGACCACAGTGGAATAAAAATGGAAATCAACTCCATGCAAATACATGGAAATTAAATAACCTGCTCCTGAATGAGCATTGGGTCAAAAATGAAATCAAGATGGAAATTTAAACATTCTTTGAGCTGAGTAACAATAGTGACACAACCTATTAAAACCTCTGGGATACAGCAAAGGCAGTGCTAAGAGGAAAGTTCATAGCCCTAAACACTGATATCAAAGAGTCTGAAAGAGCACAAGAAAACAATCTAAGGTCACACCTCAAGGAACTAGAGAAACAAGAACAAACCAAACCCAAACCCCACAGAAGAAAGGAAATAACCAAGATCAGAGCAGAACTAAATGAAATGGAAACAAAAAAAATTACGAAAGATAAATGAAACAAAAAGCTGGTTCTTTGAGAAGATAAATAAAATTGATAGACCATTAGTAAGATTAACGAAGAAAAGAGAGAGAATATCCAAATAACCTCACTAAGAAACAAAACAAGAGACATTACAACTGATACCACTGAAATACAAGATTGTCCAAGGCTACTATGAACACCTTTATGCACATAAACTGGAAAACCTACAAGAGACTTATAAATTCCTGGAAAAATACAACCCTCCTAGCTTAAATCAGCTAGAATTAGATACCCTGAATAGACTAATAACAAGCAGTGAGATTGAAATGGTAATTTAAAAATTACCAACAAAAAAAGTCCAGCACCAGACGGATTCACAGCAGAATTCCACCAGACATTCAAAGAAAAATTGGTACCAATCTTTTGACACTATTCCACAAGATGGAGAGAGAAGGAACTCTCCTTAATTCATTCTATGAAGCCAGCATCACCCTAATACCAAAACCCAGAAAGGACATAACCAAAAAAGAAAACTACAGACCAATATCCTTGATGAACATAGATGCTAAAATCCTTAACAAAATACTACCTAAATGAATCCAACAACATATCAAAAAGATAATCCACTATGATCAAGTGGGTTTCATACCAGGGATGGTTTAACATACACAAGTCAATAAATTTGATACACCACATAAACAGAATTAAAAACAAAAATCACATGATCATCTCAATAGATGGAGAAAAAGCATTCAACAAAATCCAGCATCCCTTTATGATTAAAACTCTCAGCAAAATTGGCATATAAGGGACATACCTTAATGTAATAAAAGTCATCTATGACAAACCCACAGCCGACATAATACCGAATGGGGAAAAGTTGAAAACATTCCATCTGAGAACTGCAACAAGACAAGGATGCCCACTCTCACCACTCCTCTTCAACATAGTACTGGAAGTCCTAGCCAGAGCAATCAGACAAGAGAAATAAATAAAGGACATCCAAATCATTAAAGAGGAAGTCAAACTGTCACTGTTTGCTGATGATATGATTGTTTTACCTTGAAAACCCTAAGGACTCCTCCAGAGATCTCCTAAGACTAATAAAAGAATTCGGCAAAGTTTCCAGATACAAGATTAATGTACACAAATCAGTAGCTCTTCTACACACCAACAGTGACCAAGCAGAGAATCAAATCAAGAATTCAACCCCTTTTACAATAGCTGAAAAAAGGAAAAAAGAAAAAAAAAAAAAACAACTTAAGAATTTACCTAACCAAGGAGGCAAAAGACCTCTACAAGGAAAACTACAAAACACTGCTGAAATAAATCATAGATGACACAAACAAATGGAAACACATCCCATCCTCACAGATGGGTAGAACTGATATTGTGAAAATGACCATATTGCCAAAAGCAATCTACAAATTCAATGCAATTCCCATCAAAATACCACCATCATTCTTCACAGAATTAGAAAAGACAATTCTAAAATTCATATGGAAACAAAAAAGAGCCCGTATAGCCAAAACAAGACTAAGCAAAAAGAACAAATCTGGAGGCATCACACTGACTGTAAACTATACTATAAGGCCATAGTCACCAAAACAGCACAATACTGGTGTAAAAATAGGCACATAGACCAATGGAACAGAATAGAGAACCCAGAAATAAACCCAAATACTTACAGCCAACTGATCTTAGACAAAGCAAACAAAAACATGAAGTGGGGAAAGGACACCTTTTTCAGCAAATGGTGCTGGGATAAGTGGCTAGCCACATGTAGGAGAATGAAACTGGATCCTTATCTCTCATCTTATACAAAAATCAACTCAAAATGGACTAAAGACTTAAATCTCAGATGTGAAATTATAAAAATTCTAGAAGATAACATTAGAAAAAAACCCTCTAGACATTGGCTTAGGTAAGGATTTCATGATGAAGAACCTAAAAGCAAATGCAATAAAAACAAAGATAAATAGTTGTGACTTAATTAAACTAAAGAGCTTTCGCACGGCAAAAGGAACAGTCAGCAGAGTAAACAGACAACCCACAGAGTGAGAGAAAATCTTTACAATCTATACATCTGACAAAAGATTAATATCCAGAATCTACAACGAACTCAAACACATCAGTAAGAAAAAAACAAACAATCCCACCAATAAGTGGGCTAAGGACCTAAACAACTCTCAAAAGAAGATATACAAATGGCCAACAAACATATGAAAAAACGCTCCACACCACTAATGATCATGGAAATGCAAATCAAAACCACAATGCAATACCACCTTACTCCTGCAAGAATGGCCATAATAAAAAAATCAAAAAACAGATGTTTGCATGGATGCGGTGAACAGGGAACACTTCTACACTGCTGGTGGGAATGTAAACTAGTACAATCACTATGTTTCCATAGTGTTTCCACTGTTTTCACAGTGTGGAGATTCCTTAAGAACTAAAAGTAGAACTACCATTTGATCCAGCAATCGCACTACTGGGTATCTACCCAGAGGAAAAGAAGTCATTATATGAAAAAGATTCTTGCACATGCGTGTTTATAGCAGCACAATTTGCAATTGCAGAATTGTGGAACCAACCCAAATGCCCATAAATTAACAAATGGATAAAGAAACTTTGGTTTATTTATATGATGGAATACTACTCAGTCATAAAAAAGGAATGAATTAACAGCATTTGCAGTGACCTGGGTGAGATTGGAGACTATTATTCTAAGTGAAGTAACTCAGGAATGGAAAAACCAAACATCATATGTTCTCACTGATATGTGGGAGCTAAGCTATGAGGATGCAAAGGCATAAGGATACAATGGACTTTGGGTACTTGGGGGGAAGGATGGGAGTGGGGTGAGGGACAAAATACTACAAATATGGTGCAGTGTACACTGCTCGCGTGATGGGTGCACCAAAATCTCACAAATCACCACTAAAGAACTTACTCAAGTAACTAAATACCACCTGTACCCTAATAAATTATGGAAATATTTTAAAAGAATTTAAAAATACGTATAGAACTAAAACATGCCAGCATTTAGAGAGAAAGTGCATATATGGAGATTAAGAGTTCCAAGGTTCTTGAATTGTTTGTGAAATGGTAAAAACACTAATTTATATTAGGCTTTAGTAAGTCAAGGCAGCATGTATAATCTCCACAGCAGTCACTAAAAATAATAATAAAATAAAGTTAACTATCAAGATAATTGGGAGAAAGGAAATTAAATAACATAAAATAATAAATTTTAGAGGAGACCAAAAAAGAGAGAAAACAGGACACAGAATAAATGGAACATATAGATATCAAATAATAACATGTTAGATTTAAACTCCAAAATACCAGTAATTACATTATTGGAATAGATGGACTAAATATTTCAATTAAAAGACAGAGATTGTAATACTGCACTAAAAAATACTTTTTCATACAAAACACTCCCTCAGCATTAAAGATAAAGTTTAAAAGTAAAAGGACACCAAAATTTATCATGCAAACACTGACCAAAAAGCTGGGACCACTATATTTAATATGAGACAAAGTAAACTTTAAAAAGGGAGAGAGTATGTGAGAGTATTTTATAACAATGTAAGGCTTAATTGACCAGAAAGATAAAACAATTCCAAAATTGTATGTACCTAATAATCTCAAATTATAGAAAAGAAAAATTCATAAAACTCAAAGGAGAAATAGAAAAATCCACAATTTAGTGGGGAATTTTTACCATACATGTTTCAGTAAATAACATAACAAGCAGACAAAGTATCAGTAAGTATATACAAGATCTGAAAACACATGTATCAAACTTAATCTAATTGAAATATACAGAACACTGCACCCCCAAACTTCAGAATATGTATTTTCTCAAGTTCACATGTACCATTTATTAAAAATGTGTATATGGTAGATGGGCCATAAAGAAATCTCAACAAATTTCAGGCTGGGCACGGTGGTGCATACCTATAATTCCAGTACTTTGGGAGGCTGAGGCAGGTGGATGACTTGAGGTCAGAAGTTGGAGACCAGCCTGGCCAACATGGTGAAAACCCATCTCTACTAAAAATACAAAAATTAGCCAGGCATGGTGGTGCGTGCCTGTAATCCAGATATTCATCAGGAGGCTGAGGCACAAGAATCTCTTGAACTCGGGAGGCAGAGGTTGCAGTGAACCGAGATGGCACCACTGTACTCTAGCCAGGGCAATACAGCAAGATTCTATCTCGAAAGAAAGAAAAGAAAGGAAGGAAGGAAGGAAGGGAGGGAGGGAGGGAGGGAGGGAAGGAAAGAAAGAAAGAAAGAGAGAGAGAAAGAGAAAAAGAAATCTCAACAAATATCAGAATTAAAATCAAATCAAAAATGTTTTCCAACCACTGTGAAATTAATCTAGAAGTCAATAATACAAAGCTGAAATATTTCATATATTTGGAAATTAAGAAATATCCTAAATAGTCCATGGATTAAACAATATAATACAATGGAAATGATAATGAAAATATAAAATAGTAAAATGAGTGCAATGAAGCTAAAGCCATGCTTCGAAGTAAATTTGTATCCTTAAATGTACACATCATGAGAAGAAAAGCTGAGAAAAAAATCAATGAAAATGGGCCATACAGAGGGTAAGGTTTTAGGTAGATAAAAGGGAATAGGAGTGTTTGAGACAAGCAAACTAGCATGGGCCAAGTACAATCAGCTTGGGTCTATCAAGTACATGGAGATCCTGAGACTTAAGCATAGTGGGTCTGACAGTTAATGCTTAATTTCACTAAGGGAATGAGTAAACTCTGAAGAATTATAAGTCTGTGAGTGTAATATTCAAAGTAGTACTTCAAAAGCATATCACCAGGGAGGAGTGTTCAGGATGAACTACCTTCTCCCTACAGCAACACCCATCATGCTCTTTTACCGTAATGACTTGTTTAATTTCTCTCTTCCCTGTTAGATTCTGTGGGGACAGCTCTGTGTGGGGACAGCTCTGTGAGGCCAGAAAGTGTACCTGTCTTCCCCATACTGAATCCCCAGTGCCTAGGATACCATAAAATAGTGTTTAGAACATAGAACATGCTCAATAAATATTTACGCATTAAAAAAGGATAGAATATATAGATGATATTGACTCAGCCAGAAAGCCATTGGAATAGTTGGGCTCAGTTTTGGATTGACACACGAGTAGATCATAGGGCTATAGTTGGCTGGCAGACAGGATGGTCTTGAAATGTACATGTAAATGCTCAGACTATTTGCTCTCTCCATTTTCTTAATTCCATTAATCATACCCCTTCATTCATTTCTTTGTTCATTCATTCAGCGACTTTGTATTGAGTACCCACCATGTACCGGGTATGTTCCGGCCCTGGAGGTACAAATGTAAAGAAAACACTTCCTGCTGAAGTGAAGCTTACATTCTAATTGGGCAATTCAGACAGTAAATATATATGTATATGACAGGTAGCAATAAGTATCGTGAAGAAAAATAAAGCAGGGAAAGAGAATGATAGGGTATGAGCATGTATGCCTTGTATCTCAGAAAAGGCCATGAAGCCAGGGTGACTAGAGCAGAGGAAGGGAGGGAAATGGTGATCAGAGATATGATGGGACTGGTAAAGTGGGACATTTAGCATAGACTTTGTTTTCACTCTAGAGAAAATAAGAAGCCATTGAAAGATATGGAACTGAGGATTCCCATGATCTGAATTATGAATATAAAAGGATCATTCTGGCCCTTAACTGGAGAATAAATTGTAGGAGGACAAAGGTTGAAAGAGATAGACAAGGTAGGAAGCTAATCTATAGATCATTTTGACAGCTTGCACTCTGGTCTCATCCAAGTCCATCTAAATGTAATTTATTATCTCTACCACCTGTCTCCTCTTTTTTCATCCATATTATCCAATCCAGAAATCATTACCTACTATTTTCACTATTATAATACTAGACACTCTAGTTTGGGGGCTGCAAGTTTGAAGAAGGTAAGAGTAGAGCATCGCATTCATGCCTTAAATAGTTCTATAGACAAAACTGAATACAACAGAAAAATAAATAGTACATCGTGAAAATGGAAACTATGTGGCATAGTTGAAGGTTTGGGTACCTCACAGCAGCAAACAAAAACAAAAAATAATCATAAAATGCTTACTTGAAAATCTTTGAGAATTTCTGAATTAATGCACATTTATAGACATAAGCCTAATCTTTTAGAATGCTTGATTTTTGACTTTGTTTCAAAGAAACAGATGCAATTACATTATTTGTTCACTTTATTTTAATTCACAGAGAACATACAGGAATTAATTTTTAAAATATACCGAAACCTAAACAGGCAACAGTATCAGCCAATATCAGGATATTTGACTTTTCTAATCAAAAAACAAAATTATACCTTCACAATCTTGAAATATACAATAATTTCATGTTCTTAAATATAATGCCACGCTTCCAAATACAGCATAAAACAGCTAAAGGCAAATGCTTAAAGCTGAGTATCTTCAATAGCTAAGAAAAGTAATGTAATAAAGCCTGGGATTTTATTCCTAGAAAGTATAGTTGGATTTAATGACTATCAAAAGCAATTATTATATTAACATTTACCTTTATTGGTAATAGTTCTAGAAATAAGAAATGGAGCTGTAGCAATTTAAACAATTCACTTTTCTTAAAAAGACAGCCTGACTATTGTCAAAACTGACCTGTGAGTTCACTAGCTCTACAAAAATTGTGTTAATATTTACTCAGCAGAAGGAGGAGAAAGTTCAAAGCAAATAAGAGTTACAAATTACCACCAACTATATGCAAAGCTACATAAATGATTTAATATAGTACTCTTATGCTACTGTATACTCAAGAAAATCAGAATGTAATTCAATTTTTAATATGTGGGTTTTTACAATTTATAATTATATAGACATGATCATTATTTGTCTGCTTAAAGAGTTTCTCATTGCTATTGATTTGCCTTTCTTTGAAAAGCAGGAGACTATAACAGTTCCTTTAGCTGGTGCATCTCAAATCTGTTACTAAGAGAAAAGAACCTTGAATAAAGAAAAAAGCATGTCACTTCTTTCAAGCTTCATTTCTCCTATTTTATCAGGGGAAAAAAGGGCCTTATAAAAATTGACCAATGCAGTAGAGTTTGAATTTATATTCTCCTAAAATGGTAAACATAATAAATTGAGAACCAAACGCTCAATTTTATTTCATGCCAATTGTAGCTGGACATAATTATAGCAGAAGGACTGACTTTACAGCAATTGTAAAAATGTAAATAAGGCTTTAAAACTCACTCAGGAATTATATTTTATAAATGAAGCTTTCATTTTAATGTAAACAATTATCTTAGGGCATGATATGCATTATTCAAAATGTTCTGCCTTTGTTACCATTGAATTGGTAGTTATACTTCAGAAAAACCAAGGGACAGAAACACCTGTTTCTTATCAAATCATATCTCCTAGTGATTACAATAATTTTATGTGCAAGATAGACTTTAAAATTTAAATACTGCAATATTCTGAAGTTTATATTTTTAGATAAAAGTTTATTTTAAAAGTATCAGTGGAAAATGTGAAACAAAATGTAACATGACAATTATCAATTTTAGTCCAAATATTCTTAATAGCAAAGTATCAAGTGTCTACATTTAAAATGCTCTTCATAACTTGTATTGATTTTTGTCCTAATGCAAACATTTAATTATTAAAATTTGGGAAATAACTAAATATTTAAAAATGTGACAAAAACTTTCAATAATTTGTTATATTTTCTTCAAATCACCCGCCCATTTGGTTAGTTATTTGTCTATATAAAATTAGGATAATACTAAATGTATTTTTATAAGTTTGCTGTTTTATTAGTTCCAAAGCTCATGAGATATTAAAGCACATTTTAATTGAAAAAAAGTCAAATGGCTTTTAAATCTATGTTTTCTTTTAAAAGAATGAAGTCCATGCCAAGTTGAGTCATGAAGAGAAATGTCAGTGCGATCCCTGGCAGCTGCTCGCTTCCCTGGGAAGGAAGGGCTGGTTAGGAGTACAGTAGCTAGCAAACCCTTCAGCACTCCACAAAGTCACTAGTGGGAAAAGAACAAAGGCCTTTCCAATGCAACTAACACAGATGTGCCCAAAGGCAAACTGTCAGAAACAGTTAAGATGACAGCTACTCACAGTTCATTATTTCCTTCTCACAGGTCACTGGGTGACAAGCTGGGTCAGCATGCTTTGTTGGCTGTCCCAGTCCTTCTCCACCCCCTACTCCATTTAAAAAAGGGTAAAGGACTCCTTTGGATAAACTAATGTAAACAAACACATTCCAGACACTTAATGCCAGAATATGGCATTTACTTTACTTTGGACCAAACTTAGAATTCAATGTACACACAACTTATTTTATCGAAGCAAGGAGAGAAGCACACTTCTATGCCTACTTTTCAGTGATCATTTTAGATTGTGTGTGTGTGTGTGTGTTTAAAGAGGTAAAGAAACTGAAATTACATCTACTGTAGTAAATTGTGGAGGCAGAGGGGGAAGAATGTAGATAAATCCCTGCCTTAAGAAAAAAAAGAAGAAGAAGAAGGCACCTGGAGCCGATCACGTATGGAGCCTATCACATAAACCCTGAGAAATGCTCACTAAGAAAATGCCTCTGGAAGATTTCTTATGAAATCAAATCCCAAAAAGATTTACTAGTCAATTCCTGTTGACTAAAAAAGCATAAATCTAAGTAAAACCCCTATTAAAAATTCTTTTCTATCTCTACTTGTTTTCAGAACATTTTCACAACTAACACTTGAATGCTTACTACTTTCCTGGAAACTTAAAGACATCTCAGTTAATTCTAACAACCTCAGATAGGTCTTCTGGTATGGCAGCTGACATTAACTGCGCTGTCTTTTTTGGCGTCACTTTTTCTAATACTATATTCCTTTCTTCCAAAGTGCAGTCATCAGATTGCATTGCCTCAGGGAAGAAGCAACAACAGAATGCAAAAGCCAAATCCCTAAGCTACCCAGTGCCCTATACCCTTAGAGAAAATATTTTTAAGCATGGGAAGGGTGAAATAGGCAAAGCAGGTGAGTTATCATGAGGGCCAGGTACAGCATGGGGCAAATACACAAACCCCATATATGTTTCAGGAATCTGAGAGCAGAAGTAAACTGTGCCTCTTTCTTGAGTAAAGCCCAGGATAAGGATGAAAACCCAGGATAATAAGGTCCCAAGATAATGACAAGCGCCAGCTTTCCCTCAAAAATGGCTGAGTAGAAATGGCTGCCAAATAAGCCTAGAGAGGCCAGAAACAGCCTCATAGAGCGGTATTACGAGTTCTCAAGTGTCCCAGTGTTTCTTGAGTTTCTATTTTAGATGAAAACATCAGACAAGGACTTTCCCCAAGGGAATTACATTCTAGTGATGTGAGAATAGTGGAGAGGGGCTTGACTATCCGGCTGCTCAGCCTGTGGTCCTATTGTAGATGGAGCATCAGGGAGCTGAGAATCTTGTATGTGATTAAAAAATAACTAGCAGGAAAAAGAATACCTGGAACTTAAGTTTCTGTACCGTTCTGACACCCCATATTATGATACAGCAAGGTACTAAATTTGTTACTTTGTGTTCTATCTTCAAAACAACAAGTACAAAAGACTTGAGGTTTAAATAATAAATTAAATAAATAATAAATTGGAGAATCACTTTTGCTATCTATCAGAAAAAACGTTCCCTTCCTGTAAAAATTCCAGGTGGAATATGTAATTTAGTAATATAAAATAGCTTTTTTTTCTTTTTTTTCTTTTTTAAAATTTTATTATTATTATACTTTAAGTTTTAGGGTACATGTGCACAATGTGCAGGTTTGTTACATATGTATACATGTGCCATGTTGGTGTGCTGCACCCATTAACTCGTCATTTAGCATTAGGTATATCTCCTAATGTTATCCCTCCCCCCTCCCCCCACCCCACAACAGTCCCCAGAGTGTGATGTTCCCCTTCCTGTGTCCATGTGTTCTCATTGTTCCAACCCCATCAAAAAGTGGGCAAAGGATATGAACAGACACTTCTCAAAAGAATACATTTATGCAGCCAAAAAACACATCAAAAAATGCTCATCATCAGTGGCCATCAGAGAAATGCAAATCAAAACCACAATGAGATACCATCTCACACCAGTTAGAATGGCGATCATTAAAAAGTCAGGAAACAACAGGTGCTGGAGAGGATGTGGAGAAATAAGAACACTTTTACACTGCTGGTGGGACTGTAAACTAGTTCAACCATTGTGGAAGTCAGTGTGGCAATTCCTCAGGGATCTAGAACTAGAAATACCATTTGACCCAGCCATCCCATTATTGGGTACATACCCAAAGGATTATAAATCACGCTGCTATAAAGACACATGCACAGGTATGTTTATTGCAGCACTATTCACAATAGCAAAGACTTGGAATCAACCCAAATGTCCAACAACCATAGACTGGATTAAGAAAATGTGGCACATATACACCATGGAATAAAATAGCTTTTAATTGAAATAAGTTTTTTGTCTCTTTTCATGCAAGTGACATTTCTATCTACAGTCCATGTATTTAAATTTAGGAAGGCTGGGTGTGGTGGCTCATGCTGATAATCCCATCACTTTGGGAGAGCGAAGTGGGAGGATTGCTTGAGGCCAGGAGTTCAAGAGCAGCCTGGGCAATATAGCTAGACCCCATTTTTACAATAAATAAATTAATTAATTAAATCAAATAAATTTAGGAATTTCCTTAAACTTTAGTGAATATGATAAGAATTATATGGCTCCTTTAAGAGTATTTCAGTCAACAGTAATTTCAAACAGTTTTAGATTAAAATTGCAATTTATAAAGTCAGTTTATGATTTACAACATCAACCCCAACAAAATAATAATAAACTTCAGTTTCTAATGAAATAAAGAGGATCAGAGAAATTGTGTCCATTTCTTAACCAAGGATAATTTTTCAGTTGGTTAGCAATATCAATGATGTTATTTTTATTCTAGGAAGGGAAATAGGGTTGATTTGTTATCACTGGTTAAGACCATCTTTTGTGCACTTAACCTTGAGTCCAAATATAATATTCTCATGGAAAATAAAAAGGATTGCCCATGGAATAGTCTTCTTCAACATAGCTTGGTATTTTAACAATTGGGTGTATGGTCTGTAGTACCTTAGCTTAATTATGTTAATGATAGTTATTTCATAGCATTTTAGTGAAATCCCAGGACAGCAACCCATCCTAAGTATAATAATAAACAATAACATACATCAATCTTCAACAAAATACACATAAATGTCACCTTTCTTCATCAAATGTGACCCAAAAACTACTACGCTTGAAAGCCAAAGGGCTTTTGAGATATTTCAATTATCTTCAAGAAATCAATCTTACATGAAACTGAAGGAAAATATCGAATGTCATTGAGCAATAAAGCTCAGTTCTGTCAGTACCCTACCTCTGAGCAGAAGCCTTAGGATGTTTCTCTTCCAGTTTCCTCACCAGTGCTACTGTCAGCTCCCCCGTCTCCTCAAGAGAACCTTCTGGCATTAAATGGGTGTCTGAGGGTTCTGGCAGTTGCTTCAGACCAAGGTTGCTGGCACTTTCTTGCAGAACCTAATAAATGAAATATAGGAATCATGTAGCTAATTTTCATTGAATGGAAATATCTAAACTATACATGCCAAAAATATAACACTGCAGTTTTCATGGTGCCTTCAGTGTTTCTACAACACATAAGTCCTTTGTACGTGGCCAAAAGAAAAGAAGGCAATCCTAAGAAAAAAAGGGTATCACATCTGTTTAATAAAATGTTTATATAAAGTTATATGTTTACATAAATATAAATGTGCATATAGATATTATATTATGTGTATTATTTTAAACTATCCATAACATTAAGTTGTGAATTTGTGCTTGCCTCCTGAAAACAACTTGAACATTTTTTCTTTTTTCAAAATATATTTTAGAGAGCTATTTCTGTCTTGCCTCTGGCTCCCTACACTGACCTCTTCTGCTAAGTTTCTGCCATGTTCCTGATGAGCTGTGGTCCAGGCACCATGGTGAATGTGATACTCTGTCTGGGTCACATCTACTTGTGCATTTAGCTCCTCTAGGTAGGTCAGAACAAACTGAGGATAAGCCTGTAAGAAAGGAAAAAATAACAAGTAGTATCACCCTTATAAACAATAGCCAAAAATCCATCCAACTGGAAAGAGAGGAGGATAAATTACATTAATAGTAAAAAGGTCTGGCTAATAAACTTTGTACTTTATTATCAATTTCATAACAGAATCAAGCCAAATGACTTTAATATTAACGTTTCTAATTAGTTGTTTAATCTGATTAAGTTTCACTACATAGCTCATTTTCACCCTTAGATAAGATTAAAACAGTAAAACAATCTTATACATTAATAATAATAGCTAAATTTATTGAGTTATTTCTAGATACAAGGTATTATTGTATACACAACACATGTATGTAATTGTGTAGTTGCTGTATTGTTTGGAAGTATTCAATTCTGCTCTAGAAGATAAGAAAACAAATTGAATGAATGAAAGAGCTGCATTAAGCATAGATAAGATAGTAACCTGAGAAGTGTCAGACACAAGGTAGAGCATATGTCTATGAACATAGAAAGGGCTAGAAAGACAAAATAGATATTTAATATTCATGAATCACTAAATAACAAACAAAGCAAAAAATATTAATGATATACTAAATACAAATGAAGCACATGAGGCACACGAAAATCATGAGGTCTTTAATTAGCCACCCATTGTTGACTCTCATTTGGGATCTTCTGAAGGATAAAATCTGTCACTGCTCATCAGGCTAACTGGGGAGCACAGCTACTGGTCAAGTGACTCACACACAGCCCTCACGGAACAAGTGTGTGTCATTGTCCCACGCATCTTTTATTTGTTGGGCTCCCCGGTCAAGTTTTCATTCTGGTTCTTGTAACTACACCAGCAGCAGGAAAGAGTAATGTAGCATAAAGGGGGGGATATATAAATACTGCAGACCAGATTCAGGCTAATATGACCCTTCAACCCACTCGTGTAATATTTCAGTTATGTTAATCCGGCCCATCTCTCTTTCCTTACATTTTGTTTTATGTTTTAAATTGATTTAATAAGTCATGATGTGAAAATTTTAATTTGTTTTGTGCACTTTTGTGTACCATGGGCTCTAGCCTAGCTTACCAAGTAATACACTTGGAGGCTACCCTTACATGGAAGTAATTTCCCACATAACAATAAATTTGCATTTTAATCCTTGCAACAGCACTTTGCAATGGGTACTATTATTGTGCTCATTTTAAAGATGAGGAAGCAGACACAGGGAAGTTAAGCAACATGCTTCAGTGTCATCCAGCTTGATTAATAGTCTGTCAAGCCTAAATATGCTGCCTCAATTATAATATAAACTCCTTACTGCACTTTTTAAAGTGTGGAGCTAAAATTCTAAAAAACAAAAATTATGAGGGAGTGTTGAGTAGAGAAACGGCACTAAGGTACTTACATTGTTCTGGAAAAATAGATACTAAATAACTTTTAACTTTGTTAGAAGATGTAATGTAAATATGTATGTTTAAAATGTGAGGCACTCCAAAACCTTAAATGCATATTACTAAACATAAGAGTCGATCTGAAAAGGCTACAACTCTGGAGACAGCAAAAAGATCAGTGGTTGCCAGTGAGGACAGAAGACGTGCAGCACAGAGGGTTTTTAGGGCTGTTAAACTATTCTGTATAATACTATAATGGTGGATATATGTCATTATACATTAGTTCAAACCCATAGAATGTGCACCACCAAAAGTGAGCCTTAATGTAACCTGTAGACTTTGGTAATGATGTGTCAGTGTAGGTTCACCAGTTATAACAAATGTACCACTCTGGTGTGAGATGAAGATACTAGGGGAGGGTGTACATTTGTGAGGGTAAGGGATATATGGGAACTGCCTTACTTTATGCTTAATTTTGCTGTGAATCTAAAAGTGCTCTAAAAAGTAAAGTCTATTATTTTAAGGTAAGGGGCTCCACCAAAAGCACAAGTGACAAAAGAAAAATAAATTGTACTACATCAAAATTTTTAAAAAATTGTGTTGCAAACAATGCCATGAAGAAAGTAAAAAAACAACCTACAGAATGAGACAAAATATTTTCAGATTATAGGTCTGATAAGGGATGTGTATCTGGAATATATAAAGAACTCTTATACTCACTAATGAAAAGACAAATAACCCGATGAAAATACAAGAAAAGGATCTAGTAGACATTTCTCCAAAGAAGATAAACCATTTGCTAAGAAAAGATATTCAACATCACTAGTGATCAGAAAAATACAAATCAAAACCTCAGTAAGGTAATACTTTTTACCCACTAGGATGACAAAGAAAAACAAAATCAAAATGACAGAGAATAACAAGAGTTGGCAAGAATGTGAAGGGGAAACAGCTTGGCTAGTCCTCAAAATGTTAAATGTGGACTTTTCATACGGCCCAGCAATTCCACTCCTAGTTATATACCTATGAAAAATGAAAACATACATACACACAAAAACTTCCATACCAATATTCATAGCAACATTATTCATAGTAGCCAAAATAGTGGAAAGAAATAAAATGCCATTAACTGATAAATGTATTAAAAAGGTGATGTTTCCATACAATGGAATATTATTTGGCAACAAAAAGAAATGAATTACTAAAGCATGCTACAACCTGAATTAACTCAGAAAACATTATGCTAAGTGAAAAAAATCAATCACAGTAGGCCACATATTATATGAGTCCATTTATATGAAATGTCCAGAATGGGCAAATCTATAAAGGCTGGGGAGGCGGGCAGACAGAGGCAGAGGAATAGATGTCAAGTCCAAGATGTCTTTTAGGGAGAACGAAAATGTTTTAAAATTAGATTGTGGTGACGGATGCAAAAATCGTGAATATACTGAAAAACATTAAACACCTAAAAATAGGTGAATTATATGTTATGTGAATTATATTCAAGAAATCTATTTTAATGTAAGAAATTTTTCAATTAAAACAGTATATAAAGTATAGCTTTAAACCAGCAAAGAAAAAGAAGAGAAAAGGGATCCAGAAAATGTCAAGAAGAGATTATTTTATGCAAATTAAAAGCATAATAAAACAAATCTTTGTTGAATTAATCAATGAGTGTATTAACTATGTAATTATTTTTCTTTTTATGTCCTGACATATATTAGTTGTACATATTTTGGGGGCACATGCTGTTATTTTGATACCTGTATACAATGTATAATGATCAAATCAGTGTAATTGGAATATCTATCACCATGAGCATTAAATGTGTAAAATTTTAGATGTGTACTCCCTTTGACTTAACAAACATATACATATTACAAAGATGTCCATTGCAGCATTGCTCATATTTGCCTAAATGTGCATCACCAGGAAAATTTTAAAAGATAGCATAGATGTGGATGTCAGTATGAAAAGATGGCCACAAATACATCTTATCAAGTGGGAAAAAGTATATCACAAAGTAATATGTATAGTTTTGTGTGGGTGTGGGTATGTGTCTCTAATCAAGAATGATACACTATCAATAATAATATTGGAGGAATAGGTTCAAGAGGTACTTTTGCTTATCATTTTATTCAGTTCTGAATTATTGAAAATTTTTTTCAAAACTAACATGTATCCCTTTTATTATTTAAATGAGAATCATTTTATACATGCAAATATATGCATAATAATTTTTGGGAATATACAAAAAGCATGCTATTAGTGAATAACTCTGGGAAATGGGAATAAAGTTTGAGAGGAAGAGACTTTACTTCTCATTAATGTATTTTTTTTTTTTTTGAGATGGAGTCTCGCTCTGTAGCCCATGCTGGAATGCAGTGGTGCAATCTCGGCTCACTGCAAGCTCCGCTTCCTGGGTTCATGCCATTCTCCTGCCTCAGCCTCCCGAGTAGCTGGGACTACAGGCATATGCCACCACGCCTGGCTAATTTTTTGTATTTTTAGTAGAGACAGGGTTTCACCGTGTTAGCCAGGATGGTCTCGATCTCCTGACCTTGTGATCTGCCCACCTCGGCCTCCCAAAGTGCTGGGATTACAGGCATGAGCCACCGCGCCTGGCCCATTAATGTATTTTTTCTAATATTAATTTTTATCGCATATTATAAAAATTAATACTTTAAAGAAATTGAAAATAGTGATATTATTGCACACACTATTCAGATAATTTTGGAACGAGATTTTTGAATCACTAAGCTAATCCAAAACATTAGCAAAAAGAAGTTTAATCCAAAAAAAATTAGGATTTTCATTTTACCTTTAATCTTATTCATCTTTATTGCATTATGTTACTTTTTGTTTTCTTATGTCAGTTCTTATTGTCTTAGGTACATTCAAGACAATTCAACTGAAAAGAATGTGATGGGTAATGGAGAAGCAGATTATTTCATATTGGTTCTGCTAAAAACATCAAAGCCCAAATTCAGCAACAAAAGACCACTGTGTTTTCAATATGAGAGAAAACAATACCAAATATGTTCCACAGTATCAGAACATTAAAAGAATCGACTTCTAAAAAGCAAGACAAACAGTAGAAAACAAACAGTAGACACATTCCAAGACCATAAGTAACAGCAGCATGGCTCAAATTCTGGCAACTGTAAATCCCTTATATTGTTATGGTAGCTTCATGTTATAGTAGCTTCATCCTCTAATAGAAATAAAGACATTTTATGTAAGTTCATTTCTGAGGTACATTCCCCTAATACTAGAAAGAAGATGTACATGGAATATGGGAAACTTCAATATATAATATATCCAGTGAAATGGAAGAGGAAGTGCCCAAAAGGTAGGGCCATGATGTGGCTGAACATTCTGCTAGACACTGCAGAAGCAAAGACCAAAAGTACAACAATGACAAAAATGCAGTAATGGGCTTTGCTTCCTGGAGTTGAAAGTTTGGCAAAGGTGGCAGACATATATAAATAACACAAAGTGACCAGAGCTATTATTCATCCTCCCATCATGCATTTGGAGACATTTACAAATTGTCCTGGAATTTTCCCTTTGGAGTCATCCTAAACCATTCCTTTCCCAGGTAATATCCAGTCTAATACTTTAATACCACAGTTATTCAGTGTTATCTACTCTAAGACCAGGTGATCTTGACCTCCAATGAGGCACCCACAGGTTCAGTCATCAGACCACCAATACAGACAATTCCTTCCTCCAAAATCGGAAACTCAAATTTTTCTTCTAGAAAGTCAAAAACCTAATCTTTCAACTTTTTCTCCTTTCAACTTTTCTTCCCTTCAACTTCACCAGTGCATCACCCTAAACGGACCTCTAATATCTTAAGCCCTCATTATTTTCCAAGTCTATCAGCTCTTTGGCTAATAATGCATTCTTCACATTCTAACCTATTTTTTACCACCAGAAGATAAATTTTAACAAAGCCCATCTCTAATCACATAATTCCCATTTCAACAACTTCAAATAGCACATACTGGTTAACAACCTACAGTCCTATCCTGGTTTTAAATTCCAGCTATGCTATTTACTGGCTTTGTGACCTTGGGTAAGTTCAACTTCCATAACAGAGAAGTTTTCCCACTAAAGATTGAGTAAGAACATGATCGGAATTTCACATTTACCAAATTCACTCTCAGGATGCAACTGTAACTCTCTGTTGCTAAACAGAACCCCATCCATTTATGAGATTTTTTCCCATAAATGGAGGAGATGGATCATCTCCATCACTCCCAAGGGGTTCCCTTCATGTCTGTTAGAAAGGCTATGTTTCACCTAACTTTGGACCTCCACAGGAGTGCTTATGTCCTCAAGGGAAGTATGGCAGGCAAGTCTGCAGAATTTCACCTGGAATTTTAAACTCCAGATACTCTACCTACTCTTGGTCAATACAATGATCAGGCATGTTTTTGAAGAGGGTCTCTTTTTTCTTATTATTATACATGCTTTTTATAGAAACTTAGAAAATGTAGTAAAAACCGAAGAAAATAATTATCCATACTTCCACCACCCATTTCACATATAAACTTCCAGTTTTGTCTCTATACATGTTTATGTACAACGTAAATAAATGTAATAAATAAAATATTGTTTTCTTACCCGATTTTTCTCAATTAACAACATTACAATTTTTCTTAATCATCATAAATTATTCTCCATTATTTGTGATGCCAACATTTGGTATTCATAATAAAGACATGCCACAATATATTCATACAATCTCATTGTTGATTTCTTAACCTGTTTTCAATATTCACCATTCTAAGTAGTACTATAATGGACATCCTTAAAGATACATTTTGGTGCAAACTATTGATTAATTTCTTGGGGTAAGTTGCTGTAAGTGAAATTTCTGAGTCATAAGGAATATGCATTTTTTAAGGATTTTGATAAATGTTGTCAAACTGACCTGCAGGAATATTGTGCCACTCTCTTTGATGGTCCCCAAAGTTCCCTGCTTCCTTGTATTCATACCTTTGTGTAGCCCCTCCCATACTGTCAACTCCAGGAAGCAAAGCCCATTACTGCATTTTTGTCGTTGTTATATTTGTGGTCTTTGCTTCTGTAATGGGTAGCAGAGTATTCAGTCACATCATGGCCCTACCTTTTGGGCACTTCCTCTTCCACTATGTCATCCAAAGAATTTGGCAGAAGTGGTGGATGCCACTTCCGAGATGAGGTTATAAGGGGCACTTCAGCTTCTGTTTTGCTCTTTTGTTCTCTCTCACTCTTTTGTCTAGCTCATGTTGTGCAGGCCCACATGGCAAAGGAACTAATGCCTCTGGGCTACAGCAAGTAAGTATGCTTAGAGTTAGATCTTCCAGCCTTGGTCAAGCCTCAGATGTTTGCAACCTGAGTTAGTCTCACAAGTAACTTTGAGTTAGAACTACCCAAGTAAGTCACTCCAGGTTCCTGGCCTACCAAAACTATGAAATAATAAGTATTTGCTGTTTTAAGTTACTATGCTTTGAAGTAATTTGTTACACAATTAAAAAATAAAGCAATAGATAACTGATACATAAAATGAGTGTGTTAGTTTTCTTTTATCTTTATCAGCATTGTATATTCCTAGTTTTACATCTTCCTAATGTTAAAGGGAAGAAAATACCATCTCATTGTTTTACAGTTATTTTATATCTAGTGAGGCTGAAATTTTTATTTAGTTTGGCTCTTGTAATTTTTCTCCTGTCATGTATTTCCTTTTAATGTCCTTTGCCCATTTTTGTATTGAAGTGCATATCGTTTTCTATGCCTATATAAGGTTTATTATATATTGAGTATTATCGCATTCTCTGATGTTTATGTTGCAAAGATTTTCCCCATTTTTCATATTCTCCTATTTATTTTTGCTTAATTATTTTAGATTTAGGAGTTTTTACATTTTTATATACTCAAGTCATTAGTTTTTCCCTGTATGGATTCTCCCTTTGTTTGCACACTTATGAAGATGTACTTATGAAGATGTACTTATGAAGATGTCTACTCACTATTACACTGGATTAGATGTTTAATCCATATTTTCTTCTGTTTTATGGTTCCACGTTTAAATCTTTAATTTAGCTGAAACTATGAATTGTATGAAGGAGGTGATATAATTTTACTAACTTTTTGTAAAGGAATAGAGGAATAGTTAACTTTAAAAACAAATAAGACAAAAGACTTATCCAAGTAAAAACAATACAACAAAATGCAATAAATGTATTTAAGCTTGTTCATTATTATTATCATTATTAGCTACAAATTATCAATTTGCTGTTAAAGGCCAGGATCTGTGCCAAATACTTAAAATTCTAGTATTAATAGCTCCATTTTCCAGAGATAGAATTTGAAGCTTAAAAAGGTTAAATGACTTGTCTAAGGCCACACAGCTAATAAGTGTTGGAGCCAAGATTAGTTATTAATATCCTAAAGCAGCAATTCTGCCTTTTTAAAAAATAAATAACATGAGCTCCATTTATGATCCAGCTGCAAATAATTATCAAATTATCCTCCATTTTATCCTTAACTAGATGGAAATAGTTTTGAATATGACTAAATTTAGAGCTAATCAAAATTTCTAAACCTCTAAAAGAATGAAATGCCTCATTAATAAATAGTTTTGCTTTGGGAATTTAGAGTAGCTATTGTAAAAATATCAGTGATTGTGTTTGGGAATTAAGTTTTAGAAACAAAACCTTGAAAATAATTTGTGTTTGAAGCATAAAAGTATGCATCATTTGATAATCAGCGATAATATTGTTAGGAACAATTTAAAAATTGTAAAATGAGACAAAAAGAAAGGTAAAATGAGTAGCTGAGCAGCAGTGGATATGAAGGCACCTAAATTTGGGGAAAAAAAATGAGAAAGTACACTTAAAACTTGATTCTGCTTTTCTATGTCTGTTGACGGAAAGAGTGAGATTTAGATAAGATGGAATTATGTTCTTGGGTAATATGAGTCAACTGTGTTCAGGTATGTTTCATAATTATGTGCAGGCACAAGCCAAACAGCTGGAGAGAGATTTTGGTATTGTCTAAAAATTCTACTTTTTATTTTTACCAAGAAGTACAAGACTCCTTCTTCATCTACCTAGAGCCTCACTCTGGCTCAGGAATATGGTAAAGATTATAAATGGCATGAGGGATGAATAAAAGGAAAGTTGGAGTGAAATCTTGAGCAAAGTAAGGAAAGGTAATTCTTAAAAAGCTTTGACATTTCATTGATGTGTCAAATTCCCTTCTATGAACAGAACTAAAGGTGAATAGTTTGGGCTGGGTTAATAAATGGGGTGAAATTTTAGCTGGTGTACCAACAAATAACTATTCAGGGAAGGAAATGTTATTATAACACATTTTTATATTTAAATTGTATCAAACTCTAAATTTCTAAAATGATGCAAGTTGTGACGTAATTCTAGAACAGTAGAAAAATAAAATTACCATGCTTATCAGTCAGGGTCCAGTAAGGAGATACAAACCACATAGTAATCAAATAGGGAAAGTTGAACATAAACAATTAGTAACAGGGGATTGGAGTGGCTAGTAACAGTTAAAGAGAACACTAAAGAATATAAGAATGGCAGGTATAGGGGAAATGGAAGGTATAGAAAGATGCCTGACTCATGGCTCAGATCCAGTTCACATCAGAGAGGGCACAGCCATGTCTCACTGGACATCGAAGAAGTCACTGAGGGGTGGCACCAGTAGTATTCACTGTAAACTGACTTTGGAGTTACGGGAAGCTGTCCATAGGGAGGTGCTTAGCTGGTAACCCTCCACACAAAAGTCATTTGCTATGGTCTGAATGTGTCCCCCAAAATTCACATGTTGAAACTTAATTGCCAATGTGATAGTATTAAGAGGTAGGGCCTTTATGAGTTGATTGAGTCATATGGCAGAGCTCTCATGGACAGAATTAGGGCCTTTATAGAAAGGCTCAAGGGAGTTTGTTCAATCCTTTCTGTCCCTTCTACCATGTGAGAATACGGCATTTGTCCCCTCCAGAGGATGTAGCAACAAGGCAGACAGCAGCCCTCACCAGACACCAAACTTATTGGCATTTTGGTCTTAGACTCCCCAGCCCTCAGAAGTATGAGAAATAAATTTCTATTGTTTATAAATGACCCAGTCTGTGGTATTTTGTTACAGCAGCACAAATGAGACAAATTGGTACCCAGAAGTAGGGTGTTGTTATAACAAATGCTTAAAAATGTGGAAGTAGCTTTGGAACCGGGTAATGAACAGAGGCTGTGAGAGTTTGAAAAAGCAGGATAGACAAAGCCTATATTACCATGAATGGATCATAAAGGGTGACTCTGGTGATGTCTCTGAAGTGAAGAGCTGTAGACAGAGCCTAAATTTTTTTTATAATTACTATTATTTGTATACATTTAAGAAGCACAAGTGCAATTTTGTTACATGGCTATATTACATAGTGGTGGAGTCTGGGCTTTTAGTGCATCCATCACTTGAATGATATATATTGCATCCATTAAGTAATTTCTCATTATCCATCCTCTCACCCTTCTGAGTCTCCAATATCTATCATTCTACACTCTATGTCCATGTGTACACATTATTTAGCTTCCACCTATAAGTGAGAACATATGGGTTTTGTCTTTCTTTTTCTGAGTTGTATCACTTAATGGTCTCTGTCAGTTGCATCCATGTTGCAGCAAAATATATTATTTCATTCTTTTTAACAGCTGAATAATATTCCACTGTATATATACCACATTTTCTTGTCTATTTGTTCACTGATAGAACTTTAGGTTGATTCCCTATCTTTGCTATTGTGAATAGTACTATGATAAACATATGAGTGCATGTACCTTTTTGATATAATGATTTCTTTTCCTTTGGGTAGATATCCAGTAGTGGGATTGCCGGATGAAATGGTAGTTCTATCTTAAGTTCTCTGAGAAATCTCCATATTGCTTTCTATACAGGTTGCACTATAATAATTTACATTTCCACCAAGAATGTATAAGTGATCCCTTTTCTTTGCATCCTAGTCAATATCTGTTATTTTTGTCTTCTTCATAACAGCCATTCTAACTAGTGTAACAAGTATCTTGTTTTAATTTTGCAGTTCTCTGATGATTAGTGATGTTAAGCATTTTTTATACCCTTGTTGGCCATTTGTATGTCTTCTTTTGAAAAATGTCTATCACGTCCTTCGCCCACTTTTTAATGGAGTTATCTGTTTTGGCTTATGCTGCTGCTGAGTTCCTTGTAAATTCTAGACATTAGCCCCCTGTGGGGGACTCTCAAAGTGCTCAGATTACAGGTGTGAACCACCATGCCTGGCCCATTCATTCTTTTATTTTTTTTGAGACAGAGTTTCGCTCTTGTTGCCCATACTGGAGTGCTGGAGTGCAATGGTGCGATCTTGACTCACCACAACCTCCGCCTCCCGGGTTCAAGTGATTCTCCTGCCTCAGCCTCCCCAGTAGCTGGGATTACAGGCATGTACCACCACGCCTGGCTAATTTTGTATTTTTAGTAGAGACGGGGTTTCTCCATGTTGGTCAGGCTGGTCTCAAACTCCAGACCTCAGGTGATCCACCTGCCTCAGTCTCCCAAAGTGCTGGGAGTACAGGTGTGAGCCACTGCACCTGGCCTCATTCATTCTTTTTTATTCTTTTTTTTCTTTAGTTTTGTTTGACTGGATTAATTCCAAAGACCTGTGTTCAAGTTCTGAGATTCTTTCTTCTTCTTGATCTAGTCTATTGTTGAAGCTCTCAAATGCATTTTATAATTCTTTCAATGAAAATTTTATTTCCAGTTGTTCTGTTTACTTAATTTAATTTAATTTAATTTTTATTTTTTGAGGCAAGATCTCACTTTGTCACCCAGGCTGGAGCGCAGTGGCATGAACACAGCTCACTGCAGCCTTGACCTCCTGGACTCAAGCAATCCTCCCACCTCAGCCTTCTGAGTAGCTGGGATCACAGGCATGCACCATCAGGACTGGTTAATTTTTAAATTTTGTAGAGCTGGGATCTTGCCATGTTGCCCATGCTGGCCTCAAACTCCTGGGCTCAAGCAATCCTGCCTTGGCTTCCCAAAGTGCTAGAATTACAGGTATGAGTCACCATGCCCAACTGCTGTTTGTTTGGAGATACAGATGTCCTTGATAAATTTCTCATTAATCCTGGATTTATGTTTGGATTTCTGTATTGGTTTTCAGATCCTCTTATTGGTGTCCGTGTCTAGGAAAATGGGTGATATACTTTCCAGTGTCATTCTTTCTCACACAGTGTCCCAGTGTGAGATCCAGGGCTTGGGAGGCTCAAGGTGCTCTTCTGTGTCCTGGATTCCCCAGGAGGAGGTAGATCACAGAGGAACTCACTCTCCCTCTCCCATATTGGGTATTCACTTGCCATTTTCAGCTAGACCCCACCAAGCAGGCTGCCTGACCACCTTCTGTTTCCCAGCATCTACGTTTTCTTTTGCTTGTCTGTTGAGCTTGTTTTCCTTCTTGGATAAAACTTCACAGTGTGAATCTCTACACACTGGTTTGCTTCTTCCAGGTGGCTGAGGAATGCTGGAGAATCCTCTCGTCTGCCACCTTGGGAAACTCTAAAGCTTCTTAGAGATTACTCAAGTGGTTGGGATGAGAACATTAGTAGAAATATAGACAGTAAAGCCCATTCTGTTGAAGTCTTAGAAATGAGAAACAGACCTTGACTTGTTTCTGTAAATAAAGTTTTATTGAAATGTAGACACATCCATCCATTAACATATTATCCAGTGTGTGGGTCTTTAGAAAAACATTTGCCAACCCTGCCATATAGTATTCCAATGAATACACAGTGTCTAATACAATGTATTTATCCCTTCTACTGCTGACATCCATTTGAGTAATCATAACTCTGAAGCTACTAGAATTAGTATTGCTATTAACATTTTATTAATTTATTGTTTCCTTAATATATGTAAGCATATGACCATTTGTTGGCATATGACTAGTAGGGGAATTGCTGGGTTGTCTAGACATGTTCAACAGTAGTAGATACTGATAGTTTCCCAAAGTACCAAATTCTTCATTTCAATGTAGAAGAAAACTGATGCCCTAAAATGCTGGGTAATATTATAGCAATGAATTAGGAAAAATTATTTTTGACTTTAGAAAATGTGTTTTAAAATTAAAAAAAAAAGTTAAAGGAAAGTATTGAGTTAAGTTAAATTCTAAATTTCTAGGTACAGAGTGAAGTCATATATGCAGAAAAAGCATTTCTTGCTCTAAACAATAGATAGTACCCTTTATAAGAATCTGGGAATAGAAAAACTTAGGCATAAAAGCTGTGGATTATAAAGTCCTTACCTTTGAATAAATGCAACCATCAGTTCCAAACACCCACTTCTGAGAGTCATCTCCACTATGTCTGTAACGAAAATGTAATTTAGAGATTGACATCTTCTCTCCACAGAAACACTTGTAGGTTTTAAATAAAATGATCATTTTCCAGATAGCCTGGCAGGAGGACTGCCCACACTCTACCAAAGATTCTGCCACCATCACTTTTATCTCAGCAGCTAAAGCTTTCCCTAAGACAACCAATTTCCCTGCTACAATGCTCTGGTACCCTAAGCGGGGTAAGTATGTGCATATGTGTGTTACCAGTAGCAACAGTGATCAAAAGTTTTAGAGAACAAATACAATCAATAAGAATATTATGGAAAGTTCTGCCTGCAAAAAAAGATCCTCTATGAGACAAAGAAAGAGACTTAATTAAGTATAAAGATTAAGAGAATAGTATGAAAAAAGATACCATGGAAAATTAGGAACCTCACGTGCCTAATTCTGAAACAGCTAGAGAATTTTGTCAGGGAATATTGTATTTTCTCAGCTAAGTCTGAGTAAGAAAAAACTAAAATGTGATGAAGCTAATTATGCCTAAATTAACTAATCATGTATTCATTAATATTTAGAAATCTTACAAAGGTGGAACAAAAATGAATTAAATTAAGTGTAACAGGATGTTAAACAAGACTTTTCCTACTGCCTCTGAGTTTTGACAGAAACATCAAAGGTTGAGTATAAGAGGTGTCAGGTAATGCTCTATTCTATTCTAAAGCAAGGTGCTATGTGATCTGGGCAGAGTATGTAAAGGCAGCCATCCAAAACTAGTTCAGTACACATTAGTCTTTAGCCTACATCCAGTTATGTAAAAGAATATGAAGAATTCATAGGCATGTTGAAATGGATGCTTAATAACAATGTAGGTGTCTAGAATCCTAGCCTCAGAGGTTTTGATTCTGAAGGTGTGGACCCACCCCCCACCCAAAAAATATACATTAACAGGTGTTTCAAGTTATTCCAATTATAAAATTCTGGGGATTTCTATGTGTGTGGTTAATAAGCCAAACTTTGGAAACCATGTACTAGAATAATGAGGGCAGTGAGGAAATGAAAAATCAAATGTTTAAACTTAGAAATAGTAAGAAACATGTTGTCTCTGTGCTGGGTTCTGGGCACAGAGCTTCTAACTCCCTTGACATTCCTTGAGTGATAGAAGCATCTTTTGTCCTAATGAGGGGATTCTTGGAAGGCTCCTGAATGAGGGCTGGTCACCAGAAAGACCAAGTCATGATTCAAATACTGGAACTTTTAGTGTCCCTGTGCCTTCTCTTAGGAGAAAAGAGGAGCTGGAGAATGAGTTAATAATCAATCATGCCTCCATAAAAATCAACAGAATATAGGATTTGGAAAGATTCTAGGTTTGTGAACACATCCATGTGCCAGGAGGGTGGTGCATCCCAACTCCACAGGAACAGAAGCTCCTGTCCTCAGGACACTTCCAGACCTTGCCCTGTGTACCTCTTCATCTGACTGTTCATGTGTATCCTTTATCATATCCTTCATAATAAACTGGTAAACATAAGTAAATGTTTCTCTGAGTTCTGTGAGCCATTCTAGCAGATTATCAAACCCAACGAGGGGGTCATGAGAATCCCGACATATAGCTGGTTGGTCAGGAGTATAGGTGATAACCTGGGACTTGTGACTGGTGTTTTAAGTGAAGGCAGTCTTGTGGGACTGAGCCCTTAACTTGTGGGATCTAATGCTAACTCCTGGTAGATAGTGGCAGAACTAAATTGAATTGTAGGACACACAGCAGGTGTCCACTGAGAACTGAAGAATTGCTTGATGTGAAAAAAAAAATAACACATCTAATATCAGAAGTGAAGTGTATGAAGTAGAGAAAACTACAAAAATATTATAAAGGAGAAATGATTTGATGATTGAATAAATGAGGTGGAGGTTAGAGAGAGTAGATAAGGGTAAGTCTCAGATGTCAAAATTGGGAAAAGAAGAGGAACATGACACTATTAAAGGAAAATGAAATGAGAATGGAGCAGAGGCAGGCAGAGATGTGAAAAATAAGAAGAGTTCTAATAGTTATGTAAAAGTGTTTAATATTAAATAAAATATCTTTCAGGGTATAACTGACCCCTAAGCTAAGGATCCCATTCTAAGGCTTTGACAATGTAATTGTTGCTCAAAACAACTTCAGCATTAGGTGGGGTGATGAAGGTATTGGGGGAAGTTGTCTTTCTGAGGATCTTTCTATATTATAATTAATAAAGGAAAAGAGAAGCTTTTTAAATTTTGACTTGGGGTCCAGAACTAAAATGATGGTTATGATAATAATGATTATCCAAGAAAAAACAGACTGTGAGAATTTGAATGGAAGTGAGGGGCTATCCCAGTTGAGTTCTCATTTTATAGATGAATAAAATGAGATGCAGAGAGATGAAGTGAGCTGGTCAAAATCACAGCACTAGTTATTATACAAATAGGAACCAGAACCCAGAATGTCTGACTTAAGCTCAACATCTCAATTAGATCAGAAAAGTATAATGGAAGTTATTTTGTGTAAGTGGAAGACTGAAAATGGAGTCAACATCTTAGTCTCACTAATTATAATTTGACACAATCTCAGTAACTTAATACATATTGATATAATCATAATGTTTTTATACAACTGTATTAAAATAATCACCAGTTTTATACTATAACAAATTCTCCTAAGGTACTGAGAAAGTTCATATTTCAAACCCTGAATGAAGAAATAACAAAAACAATATTGCTAGTCTTTAAAGCTGTCAATCCCAAGCTTAGAAGTATACTCTTTTCAAAATAATAAAAAAGAGTGATTGCTGTAATGCTTTGATAGAAATGTGTTGGGTTGCGATAAAATTTAGATCATTTTAATGTGTAGGGGCTATAACTCAATGCAGCTTCATTGCTTACAAGCAATCTCTCCTGTTTCATAAATTATTGTGAGTATATTTCTTCGAGATAAATGAAATGGCAAATGATAATTTTTCAAAGTATACGACATCTGCAATTGGCAATTAATAAACTGATGTTAACCATACAAATCTGTAAAATTCAGAATTTTGTCTTTTTATCGAATTACGGTGTTGCCTTGATGATGAATTATGCTGATTTGAGTTTCGACTTTCTGAACTTACAGCATCTTCTCTCAAAACTAATACAACAGAAAAGATGTCCACCAAGCTGGCAACTGTGTGAGGGCAGAGACCATGTATCCTCAGAGCTGATCACAAGGCCTGGCATGTAACAGGATATTAAAGCTATCTTTGAATAAATAAAAACGTGAATAAAGTGTCAGAATGTTACTACCCTAAAAATTAATCATAAAGCCATCTGAAAATGTTTTAAATTTAATATATGGCTGTTTAGGGAACTTAAAAGATCTTTTTGATAGATGGCTAAAGAAGATAAATTACACATTTGTTAAGAAAAAAAGAAATAAGGCCGGGCATGGTGGCTCACGCCTGTAATCCCAGCACTTTGGGAGGCCGAGGCGGGTGGATCACGAGGTCAGGAGATTGAGATCATCCTGGCTAACATGGTGAAACCTCGTCTCTACTAAAAATACAAAAAAATTAGCCGGGTGTGGTGGCACATGCCCGCAATCCCAGCTACTCGGGAGGCTGAGACAGGAGAATCGCTTGAACCCAGGAGGCGGAGGTTGCGGTGAGCCAAGATCATGCCATTGCACTGCAGCCTGGGCAACAAGAGTGAAACTCCATCTCAAAAAAAAAAGAAAAGAAAAGAAAAGAAATAATTCTGAAAGAAATGCAAATTTACTAGCATTTGTCAAATTTTATCAAGCTTCAATTCTGTTCTGGCATATCTTTTCCTAGAAAATTCTACTAAAACCATGTAGTCTTATATAATCTATAACCTCTGGGAGCTTACTAGTATCACTCCTGTTGGTAGTCTACTTAAATCTATAAATGTTGTCCCTAAATTTTACCGAAGTTGTAAAAAAACAAACCTCTCATGAAGTGCCACGTTAGGCTGGATGAAAAGGTATCATTCTAATTTACAATAACTTCTTAAAGAAATAAAATTTCTACACACAAAAGTGTATCTGCCTATTTTTCAAGACATTTCATATGCAGAAAAATCAAATTTAGATCCAACATACAGTGATGCTCAGATGAGACTGATTTAGAGAATGATATCATAGACTCTCCTCTTCTTGATCAAAAAGCACCAAGCTAAAAAGATTTTTTAAAAACAAAAAATAACAACGACATCAATAACGAAAGGAAGGGAAAATGGAGGAGCTATATTCCATCCAAGAATCAGTCATAATATCATGACATACACTGAACTAAGGTTGAGAGACTTGAGTTCTAGTCCTGCATCTAACGTTAACTAGACATATGACCTTTAGTAGATCACTTAGTCTCTAGTGGCCTTGCAATTTTTTTTTAATAATGATGATACTCTTATCACAACTGCCATTATCACCACCTCTACTACCACTAGTAAAGAGAATTTTGAAGCAGGCATTCTTCAGATCCTTCCTTCTCTGAAATCATATGACTTCCAAGTGTTCTCATTTTACAAGTGAGGGAACTGAGAATGATCTGCCCTGGGAAGCTTGCTAAGTAGTGTAACCCTATTAAGCATGCATATGTTAAATGTCTATATAGGTAATATAGATACAGATATCACCCATACAGCTATATCGATATGTGATATAGATACAGATATGATATAGATATAGATATCTATATCTATACATCACACACATATATGTGTGTAATACATCTACACATATATATGTGCATAATACATTTACACATATATATGTGTGTAATACATTTACACATATATATATATCTGTTTGTATGTGTTTATACACTCACACATTCATCATTTCCTGGTAACTATATGGAGGGCTATTATCATGCTTCAGGATCACAAGTTTCTTTTCTCAGACAGCCTCAAATGGCTCTGGTGTCTACCAATGCTACCCGGGCCAAAAGTAGAATGCACGTAGAGGATGGGGAAAGTGATTTCCAGTCCATAATTCATAACATAGTAAGAACAAAGACAAGGTTCATTCAGTAATCCACATAGTGTGAAATTACACATGGACAACTTTCTATTTGATGTTGACGTTTCTAATGGTGTAACCTATATGTGTTAATACAACTTCTGTCTGCTGCTATTCCTTAACATTATACAGCTACACTTGCTGATTGTATGTAAAGGAGTCCTTAAAGCAGCGTGTGTTTTTAACCTAGTCCGGTAATGTTTGCCAGTTGTCACTCCATTTTTAGCAAGACCTAAATGGCAATAAAAAAAATGGATGCAAAAAGCTATAACTGAAAAATTAACCTTGAAATATGAAAGACGGTAAAGATTACTTGAAATTGGACAGGGTTCCATGTAAGTCTGAAACTTCTTTTATGGATCATCTTTAAGATAGAACATTCAGTTCTGTATTTATTCTGATTTAAGAAACGTACAGACTAAAGATAGAAAAGAGGTCTCCTTTGGCAGGTCCATTAGTCCATTGATTTTACATGTAGGGGCTTTTGCAAATTCAAAAGCTTTTATGGGCCAGACAGGTATTAGAAATTCATGAAGCAGTGAGAGCCAGCATGAGGGCTGCCAAAGGGAACGGTGGAGAATATGGCAAACTGGAGGATGTATGTTCCATCTAAAGGGGACATCACCACTCAGTTCCTTCCTGATGGGTGTCATGACAGAATTCAGATCCAGTGCCATTTCAGATTTTTTCTGAAAAAATGAAAACCCATTTCAGATTTTTTCAAGAAAAGCCAGAAGTATGTCACTTTTGTGTGAAATCTTCCTATTTCTATAGGCTCACGACTAATTCAAAAATTGTAATAACATGCAAGCCAAACAAAATCCATGGGTTAACAGTTTTTAACCTTTATAATCTAATCTTCCTCTGTGCGTGCATGTGTGTGCAAGTGTTTGATGTTATGTTAGTTTTTTAGTTGAACACTAAAGTCCAGATACCCTGCATATCTGCAATCCTTAAAAATGAAGCAATATCAATATTGAATGGTGCTCTGAAAAATAACTTCGATTCAACTAGTTTATCTGTAAGGTGTCCAAAATATCTTTTGGAAAATAGCATTTTTAAATGATTTTTGAGATGGTTTAGGTCACCTGGTAAAGAGATTGTTGGTTTACCTTTCATCCATTAACAGTCAGATGCACAGATAGAAAAATATATATATTAAAAGGGAAAATACACACGAGCACTTGCTATATTGAATAAGAATAAGATTATTAACACCAAATGAGACATAATTGAACTAATGAGGCATGATATGTTTATAATATTCTTTTGTGAGTTGTCAGGTTGCTACTTTAAGTACTAGTTCTATTATTTCTAGCATGTAAAGGCTATGTCTTGATTCACAGCTTTTGTTAAAATTATATACTACTTAGAAAAAGAGAAAATTTTTATCTCTAGAAATTGCTGTCACATGAAGATATTTATTGTTATTTATAATAAAATATGGTTATCTTAAAAAAAAACAAGTCACACAGTCATTTTAGATGTCCTGGAAAAGATAAATGTGTTTGAAATTACCCAGAGGTGAGGTAAACTCTAAAAATTTTGGTCCTTCCTGCTTTCTAAAATGAAGTATAACTTCATAGTCAGTGAGAACTTCCAGTTTTCTAAATTTCCTATTTTGGCTCCACCTTGGATTTCGCTTTTTGGATAAAGGCAAGTTAAAAGGTGAGCAGGAGGGAGGATCCCTACACAATTAGGATGATATGCCTTTGTATTAATGCAACTTGCCTTCAACTTAAGTACTTCCCTCCCTCTCTTCCTTCCTTCTTTTCTAGATTAAACAAAATCTTTTCTTATTTTTGTTTGTTTGCTTGTTTCATGAACATCTCTTTTCTTGCCCAAGCTTTCTCCTCTATAGGTAATAAGAACATTGAGTCTTCAGCCTCAGCCCACTCAATTCCATGACAATCTTGACCAGAGTAGAAGTAGACCTCAATATTTCATCAGCTGATCTGGTCTTAGCCCACTGAGGTAATGGGCTTAGCCTCAATGGGCTAAGACCAGATCAGCTGATGAGATGTTGCAGTACTTTCAGTATCCGGTGTGCCTAGTGAGAGTCCTGGGCATGAAGAGTATGCCCATCAAGCTATCTATAACTTTCCAATCACCTGCCATTTTGACCTAGGCCATTGATGAACTATCCCATTGAGAAAGGCCTTCTCTCACTGTCTCCTTCTAAAGTAACCATTTAGTCATTCCTTATCATTTTTATTTTTTCTTAATTGTTTTTAAGGTTTTTTTTTTTAAAAAAAACTGCTTTATTGAAAAATAATTGACATACAGTATTGCACAATTAGTAGGCACATATTCAAAGGGTAAAATTTGGTAAGTTTTGAAATATATATACATCTGTGCAAGCAACACAACAATCAGGATAATGAACATATCCACATCTGTCATGCAAAATGAATCACTCCTAAAGTTTATTTATGCCCTTTTTTAATCTCTCCCTCCTGTCCCTTCCCCATCATCCTATCTTCAGGCAACCACTGATCTGCTTTCCATTACTCTACATTAGTTAGCATTTTCTAAATTATATATATATTGAATCAAACAATATGTACTTTTTTTGTTTTATTTTCTACTTTCCTTCAGCGTAATTACTTTGAGATTCATCTACATTGTTGAATATATCAAGAGTTTATTCCTTTTTATTGCTGGGTATTCTATTGTATAGATTATCTGTTCACCTATGGATGGGATGGACATTTGAGTTATTTCTAGTTTTTTTTTCTGTAGGCTTTTAGAAATAAAGCTGCTAAGAACATTGATTGATTGATTGATTGATTGATTGACACAGGGTCTCGCTCTGTCACTCAGGGAGAAGTGCAGTGGTGCAATCACGGCTCACTGCTGCATCGACCTTCCAGGCTCAAACAATCCTCCTGCCACAGCCTCCTGAGTAGGTGAGACTACAGGGGCACACAACCATGCTCAGATAATTTTTAATTTTTTAGTTAAAAATTTTTAATTTTTGTAGACACAGGGTCTCACTATGTTGCCCAGGCTGGTCTCAAACTCCCGGTCTCAAGCAATCCCTCCCTCCTCCCTCAGCCTCCCAAAGTTCTGGGATTACAGGTGTGAGCCACTATGCCTGGCCACTATGAACATTTATACATGAACAAAGTATACATTCTTCGTATGAATGTATGCTTTCATTTTCTTTGCATAAATTTCTAGGAGTAGAATGGCTGGGTCATAAGGTAGATGGATGCTTAATATTTTAGGAAAGTATCAACTGTTTTCCAAAGTAACTAAACCACTTTATATTTCCACCAACGACTTATGAGAGTTCTAGTTGTACCACATACTCACCAATACTGGTATGGTCAATCTTTTAAAGATTAGACATTCTAACAAATATGTAGTGATGCTTCATTGTAGGTTTATTTGGCATTCCCCTAATGAATAATAGTGTTGAGCATATTTTCATATGCCAATTGTATATCTTCCCTGTTAAAGTAACTCTCCAAATCATTTATCCCCATGTTTTCTTGAATTGTGTGTATGTATTTTGCAAATATATATGACTTGCAAATATTTGCATCTTGTGTGTGGCTTGTCTTTTCATTCTCTCTTCATTCACTGTCTTTCAGAGAATAGAAATGTTTAATATTGTTGAAGTGTAACTTGTCGATTTTTATTTTTGTGGATCATGCTTTTGGTGTCATATCTGAGAAAGTTTTGCCTAATGGAAGGTCACAAATAGTTTCTCCTATGTTTTTATCTAAGATACCTACAGTTTTAGGTTTTACATTTAGGTCTATGATCATTTAGAGCTAATTATTCTTAAGCTATTCTTGCACTCCTGGGATAAACCCCACTTGTTCATGATACATCTTTTTATAAATTGTTGTATTCCATTTGCTAAAATTTTGTTAATCATTTTTTGCACTTATAGTCATGAGAGATACTGGTCTATGATTTTTTCCCTAAGTTTTGTGACCAGGATAATGCTGACCCCCTAGAATCAGATGGGAAGTATTCCTTCTTATTTCTTTTCTGGATAAGATTGTGTAGAATTGGTATTATTTTTCCTAAAATGTTTGCAGAATTTCCCAGTGAAGCTAGTGAAGTAATCTGGGTCTGGAGTTTTCTTTGTAGGAAGGTTTTCCATTTCTTTAAGAGATGTAGGACTATTCAGGTTTCCCATTTTTTCTTGAGTAGGCATTGGTGATTTGTGTCTTTTAAGGGAATTGGTCTTTACCACCTAAATGACAAATTTACTGGCACATGGTTGTTCAAAATATTCCCTTATCATCCCTTTAATAACTGCGTGATATCTCTCATTGCTGATACAGGTAATTTGTGTCCTCTCTTTTTATCTGAACAATCTGACTAGAGATTTATTAGTTTTTTTTAATCTTTTCAAAAAAATCCAGCTTTTAATTTCATTGGTTTTCTTTTTTTTCTATTTTACTGATTTCCACTCTTTTATTATCCCATTTCTTCTGCTTACTTTGTGTTTCATTGGCTCTTACAGTTTCTTAGAGTGGAAGCTGAAGTCATTGATTTAATATCTTTCTTCTTTTCTTACACAGACATTTATATAACATTCCCTCTGAAAACCTCGGCAGTGTTTCATAAATTTTAATATGTTGTATTTTCATTTTCATTCAGTTCAAAATACTTGCTAATTTCCATTTTGATGCCTTCTTTGATTCATGGGTTTGTTATAAATGTGTTCAAATATCTGGGGGTTTTGCAGAAAACTTGCCACTATATTTTAGTTTAACTCCATTATCATCAGAGAACACACTCTATATTACTTGAATTTTCTTAAACTTATTTAAACTTGTTTCATAGCCATTATATAGACTATTTTGGTTAACATGCTATGTACTTTAAAAAATGCATCTTCTGCTGTTATTGAATGCATTTTTCTATAAATATCAATTAGGTAAAGTTGGTCTGTAATGTTATTCTAGTCATCTATATCCTTACAGATTTTTTCACTTGTTCTGTTAATTATGAAACAGGGTATTATTGTTGCTCACTAGAGTTTTAGATGTTTCTCTTTTTCCTGGCAATTCTATCAGCTTTCACTTCAGGTATTTTGAAGCTGTGCCATTTTTAAAAAATTAGAATCGTTATGTTCTCGTGATAAATTAACCCCTTAATCATCAAATGGCCCTATTTATCCCTAGTAATATTCTTTTTACTGACGTCTACTTTATCTGATATTAATATATCCATTCTTACTTTCTTTGTATTAATTTTATCATTGTATATATTTTTCATGAATTTACTTTCAACATATTTGTTTCTTTATATTTAAAGTTAATTTCTTATAGGTAGCATATAGATGGATGTTGTTTTTTATCTAATCTAATAATGTCTGATTATTAAATGGGGTGTTTACATTATTTATATTTAATGCAATTATTGATACACGTGGCTTTAAGCCTACCATCTTGTTATTTATTTTCTATTTCTGTTCTTTGTTCCCCTTTTCCTCTTTGTCTTGATTTGGATTAATTATTTTTAATATTTCATTTTATTTACTTTTTTGGCTTGTTAGCTATAACTCTCTACTATTTTAATGATTGCTTTGGTGATTATATATTTTTAACTTATCATAATCTACTTTCATTTGATATCACATCATTTCACAAATGGTATAAAAAAATCTTTCTTCCATTTCTCTCCTAGTGGCATTTGTGTTATTTCCATCACACATTTTATTTCTACATATTATCTCCACAATATATTATTATTATCACTATTGCTTTAAACAATCAATTATTTTTTAAAGAGACAAAAATAATTAGCACTGTGGGGTTTTGGGGGTGTTTTGTTTTTGACACACAGGCTTGCTCTGTCACTCAGGTTGGAGTGTAGTGGTGCAATCATGGCTCACTATAGCCTCGACCTCCTGCCTCAGCCTCCCAAGGAGCTGGAACTACAGGTGTAGACCTTCACTGAACCTGACTAATTTTTCTATTTTTTGTAGAGATGGAATTCCACATGTCACCCATGCTGGTCTCAAATTCCTGGGCTCAAGTGATCTGCCCACCTCAGTATCCCAAAATGCTGGAATTACGGGCATGAGCCACCATGCCAGGCCTAGTAGCATTGTTATATTACCTATATAGTCACCATTGCCAGTGCTCTATATTTCCATCTGGTATCATTTTACTTCTGTCTGAAGGACTTCCTCTAACATTGCTTGTCATGAAGATCTGCTGGTGATGAGTTCTTCAGTTTGTGAATATCTTAAGGTCTTTATATTGCCTTAATTTTTGAAAGACATTTTCACTGGGGAAAGTTTTCTATATTAACGGGTTCCTCCCCACCTCCTCTTTTAGTATTTTAAAGATGTTTTTCCACTGTCTTCTTACTTCCATTGTTACCAACAAGAAATCTGCTGTCAGCCTTATTTTAGCTCCTCTTGTACATAATACGCCTGTTCTCTCTGCTTTTAAGATTTTCTCTTTATCACTAATTTTAAACAATTCTATGATAATGTGCCTTGGTTTTGTCTCTTCATGCTTCTTGTGCTTGGAATTTGTTGAGTTCCTTGGATCAGTGGGTTATAGCTCTCAATTTTGCACATAGAAATTGTTCAGACACTATTTCCTCCAATATTTTTCTTTTCCTTGCTTTAACCTGTCAGAGACTATAAATACTCAGAAATTGGGCCATATGAAATTTTCTCACATCTCACTGATGCTCCGTTCTTTTTTTTTTTTTTGAAGTATTTGTTTTCTCTCCGGTTTTCCTTGTGAATAGTTTTGTTATCTTCTCAAGTTCACTGCTATTTTCTTCCACATTGTCTAATCTGGCATTAGACATGTTTAGTATACTTTGTCTCATATATTGTAGTTTTAATCTCTTGAAATTTGAGTTCTTTTATATCTTCCATGTATTTAGTTAACATGTTCAATCTTTCCTCTAGCTTCTTGAATATACAGAATACAGTTAAAACAGCTGCTTTAATGTCCCATCCAGTAATTCTATCATCTGTGTCATTTTTGGGTCAGTTACAATTGATTGATTTTTCTCTTTAGTATAACTGTGGACTAAATGAGCTGAAGCATCTCTGGCTCCCTGTTCCATAGTTTCGCATTGGCATTGGCATTGGCATTGCAAGTTCATGCTCAATGTGAGTCTAGTTTACAGAACTCATTTTGCTTCAGAAATCTTATTACCCAGTCTGCGTACAGTTCCATACCAAACTGAGACTTGCTTTAGGGTTGTCTGCCACTACTTAGGAACTATGTATTTAGGACTCTATTAGCACTGGAGAGTTTGCATAACACCAAGCTAACATCTTCCTTTCCCATCTGCCTGATTTTTTCAAGTGATGTACCCTGCTCATCCACTAAGGTATCTGCTACCACACTTGGCGCTCACTGGCAATTGTCTGACTGGACTTTAACTGACTGACAGTGTAGTGTTGTGGCTAAGTGTCTACTTTCAGGTTATAGGGCCTGACTGCTTGGGTTTGCCTTCCTGCCAAACCACTTAGTAGGTATGGCCTTGAGCAGGTGATTAACTTCTCTGTACCTCAATATCCTCACCTGTAAAGATAATAATGATACCTACCCTATCAGATTGTTGTAAGGATAAAATTTGACAATGAGATTTAAGGACATTAGAATAGTATCTGGCTTAGACACTTTGTTGTTAGAGTAAGCAGTGCAGACTGGATCTATACCTGGGAATTTGAGTCTGTAGATCACATTCTTAATCATTACATGATATCCTTATATCTGCTTTGCAAGTTAGAGAAAACTTCCCTTCTGTATTTATGGCTGGATCAACTTCTCTGATGATTGCAGCCTAAGCATATCCTAAGTGCCTATATAGCCAGAAGTAGTTGGTAATGGCTTTTTAAGTCCTGAGGTATGATAGAAATTGTTTTTTTCAACACTAAGTGAAAACAAACATCAAAACAAAAGACCAAGAAAAAAGAAAGTGACTAGAAAACAATATTTTGAGACTCTTGGAGATAAATCAACTTTCTTCCTCAATCTGCTTTCCTTTATTATATCTTCCTAAATCAGAAAAAAACAAATAAGAAGGACACTTACAGTCCGTTACAAGCCAGCATTTTTTGGTCTCTGTGATTATTCTTTCACAGTTCAATGTTTTGTATTCAGAAGATGGAAAAAGGTTATGAATATACACAAAAATTTAAGTTTGTTAATTAACAATCAAAATGGATATAAAGAAATGAGTTCTGATAATTATAGAGTAAAGCAGCAGTTTGTCTACGACATAGATACATGTTGAAGGCCAACATTTCACCTTTTAAATATCTTTAAAACACTACCAAACTAAGTGGCATACATTTTCAAGCTTACTTTGGATTCAGAAATTAATATTGTTATTATGAACACAAATTTAAACATTGAATGAATATTCAATCCAAACCAGGAGGCATCACAATTGAACTGCTCAGAATTCTTGAAATTAGCATTTATTATCTTGAGCTAAATAATTTATAAGCATTACCTTTTCTGTAAGATTAATTTATATCCTTCTAGTGATGTTCCCTCAGCAGCCTTGACTCTGATAGGATGACCAATAGCCAGGCAGCCCTGAGTTATCGCTCGGCTCAGGATCATTCCAGTCTTCCAATGAATAGAGAGGGGGAGAAAGGTCTAAATAAGTTAAAAGAACCAGAAAATTCAACAATGTGTCACAAATAGTGAGGTCATTATGCCTGGATAACCCTGGATATTAACAGTTGCTGAAAGTGAAACACTACCCACAACTTAGCAGTCAGCGAGCCCTGCTCAGAATCAGTAATCTTCTGTCCAACAAGGGTGGCATTTTACAGTTCAGTGCGAAATAAAACAGACCTTGATATCTTCATTTGTCTTTTTTTTTCTGTGCATATTTCACAGTGCAGCAATTTGGGGTCCATCACGTGTCACTTGCTGTAGTTATAACTACAGAGCTTACCGGAAATATGTATGCACAGAAAAAAAATAGTGCAGTGAACTGAAAAGACTGAAACAAATCCTTAACCTTTGTATCAATTTAAAGTTTTACTCTGGGTCTAAATATCATGGGTTAAACATTTTAAGGTGGTTTGTGAACTGCTTTTATTTTAAATGTTAGGATTTTCTGCCAAGGAAATTAAAGGGGAATATTGCTTGAAGGGCCATTTAACCATTTTCTTACTTAGTGAGTCAACACAACATTTTTTATAAGTGACAACCATAGAGAAATTTGTCTACATCTACTGGAGATTTATGGCACGTAAAATTCTCTCTTAATAGGTAAAAAGATGTATTTTTAAAACAGGAAGAGAGAGTTCAATCTTAAAGGATTTTCAGAATTGTTTCCTTTTTAGCATATACTTTATTTCTCATGTGTTTGCAGTGTGGAAAAGAAACATGATGATGACTGATGACTTACGAAAAATATTTCTAAAAAAAATTGGTTTTAGTAAGTACTGAATGAAATCCTTGTTTGATCATGCTTGTCTATACAGAAAAAAGAACTGCTTAGGGTGAGGAAAGGCAGCCATCATTTATTAAGCACTTTCTGTATACCAGACACCATGCTTGAACATCACATATGCTTTCTCATTTCATCTTCACAGCAACTGTGCAAAGCAGATAAGACTAACATCATTTATAGAAGAGAAAACAGTAGTTCAATGCAGCTAAGTAACTTTCCCAATGTCACACAAGAGATTTCAATTATTTAATAACTCCAAAACTATACTCTTTTGGTAGGCATTCCAATTATTTTTGAGGAGATTTTAGACAAGTACATGTTTTCTGCTATCATGAAATTCTAGAAACAGATACCATGAAATGAAAGAATATGGGATCTGAGAATGGACCTTCCATAGCAACTGGTCCAACTCTTTTTGATAGAACACCAAGGCCTAGATACCATGTGTGACTTGTCTGCTGTCATATAGTTATTCAGTGGCAGTGCTGGGACTAAAACACTTCCATTATGCTCACAGGTGAGTCAAATATAGAGGAGTGTTTTATATCACAATGAAAGTTCTGAAGTCAAAGAGACCAAGAATCTTTCTTCTGCTATTACTAACCTCAGTTTCTTCAGCTGTATAATAAAAATCTGCACAGTTCTTGTAACATTAAATGAAATAATGAATGTGAATAAAGTACCTAATGTAATGTCTGACATACAGTATTCAACTAAGTGGAGATGTTATTATTATTAAATCAGAAACAAAATACCATGTAAAAAGGGCAAATAGTTAACATAGACTCCAGCTGGAAATCCAGATTTCAGGAAAAGCTCATGTAAACTTACTATGCTGTGATATATGAAATAAATAATATGTCTTAGTACCTTTGTGTCTTAATTATTCTATATGTTTGTTTTTAACTTTTAAAGAACAATAGCTAAGGGCAATCCAAAATTTCATTTGCGAAAATAGTGTCAATCTTCCCTCCTCCCAGCAAACTTCATTGGGTGACTTCGCATTCACAGGAGTGCTAAGTAGTAGCAAAATCATCTGTGATGACGGGACAAAGGGAGATACAGGAAAGATAATTGTGAACTGCATCATCTCTTTTCAACATAAATACATATTTACAAAATGTACTGCAGTAGTAAGATGAAAGGAAAGGACAATTTTATGTTCTTCTATAAGTCATATACAATAGTACAATAATAAAGTGAAAAATATTAAATATTACCAACACACAGGAACAAAATGTGTTAGGCACTGCTCATGTTTATACTCAGGGATTTCTTTTAAAACTACGTCCTTGCTAAGACAATATGCAAAGTTGGTATATGTTGGTAATCTACCAGGCTCAGGAAAGCTGAGGGGTAAAACTCAAAATGAAGATCTAGGAGTAGAAGCACATTCAGACAAATCTCATGAAAATGATGAGTCTGTGGACTACAAACAAATTCTATGCTTGGTTTAAATACACTGTGAGGTATAAACTAATCAGCAGCATGTCTGATAGTGAACTGAATGCTCATTTGAGAATCTACAGAAGTCCCGTGGGCTAGGCAATACCAACGGCAGAGATGGCATCTATAACAGCCAACAATTTATCACGCTTTCACTTGTATGCCCATGTGCATGAGAGCACCAGGTGCCAGCAAGTGCCGTGAGCCAGCAAGCAAGGGGAGGTCACTCAGCAAAAGCAGACACTCTTAGGTACCTTGGTGATCAGCCACACACTGGCTACAGGCCACAGGATCGATGGCGCTATTTGACTCCTGCTGCTTGCTTCACTGCCTGAGAAACTCCACTTTCCAATGGAAACAGAGGCATGAAGGACAATATTGGGATCTACCTGTATCATAAGAAGAAGTATGCATTTTTAACTCATAGTCTAAGAGTTAAACTCCTCAACACACTTACCCAAAATAAGTTATCCTAGAACATTATTTATTCTGATTGATACCTCTTTTCAAAAAGTAGCATTCAATCCCCTTTAATTCAATTCAATCAATATTTGTTGAGCACCAACTCTATTATGCAAGACCCTATGCTGTGTGGTGTGGAATATTATAAAATATTTTTTCCTGACCCAAAGAAACATACAACAGAGTAGAGGCAACTTCTCTCTCTCTCCCCACCTGCCTTTCATGTTAAGCTCCACATGAATGATTAAATAGTGTTATTATAGGCATGAAAAAATGGTACGCTCATTTCTGCTGGAGTAACCTAAAGGTGGAGCATCTTGAAAGACGTTAACATGTAAAGCAGGCCTTGAAGGATGGGGACAGTTTGACAGGAGTAATAAAGAATAAAAAGGTATTCCAAGTAAAGGCAAGGAAGCTTAATCAATGTGTCTTAGGATCTGCAGGTAGACTCAAAAAGTAAATTTGTCCAAACTGTAGAAAGTGTCAAGTGCAAAGCTATGGAGTCAGGTGGACAGCAGGGAGCCAGTGAAAGCCTTCTTTTTTTTTATATATATACTTTAAGTTCTGGGGTACATGTGCAGAACAAACAGGTTTGTTACATAGGTATACACGTGCCATGGTGGTTTGCTACACCCATCAACCCGTCATCTACATTAGGTATTTCTCCTAATGCTATCCCTTCCCTAGCTCCCCACCCACTGACAGGCCCTGGTGTGTGATGTTCCCCTCCCTGTGTCCCTTTGTTCTCATTGTTCAACTCCCACTTATGAGTGAGAACATGTGGTGTTTGGTTTTCTGTTCTTGTGTTAGTTTGCTGAGAATGATGGTTTCCAGCTTCATCCATGTCCCTGCAAAGGACATGAACTTTTTTATGGTTGCATAGTATTCCATGGTGTATATGTGCCACATTTTCTTTATCCAGTCTATCATTGATGGGCATTTGGGTTGGTTCCAAGTCTTTGCTATTGTGAACAGTGTCACAATAAACATACATGTGCATGTTTCTTTATAGTAGAATGATTTATAATCCTTTGGGTATATACTCAGTAATGGGATTGCTGGGTCAATGGCATTTCTGGTTCTAGATCCTTGAGGAATCGCCACACTGTCTTCCACAGTGGTTGAACTAATTTACACTCCCACCAACAGTGTAAAAGTGTTCCTATTTCTCCATATCCTCTCCAGCATCTGTTGTTTCCTGACTTTTTAATAATCAAACATATCTTGCTAACAGCAGATTTTAGTAAGGTTGATCTGATAAGGGTAGAGGATAACAGATTGTAGAATGAAGACATCAAAGACAGGGAAAATAGCTGGGAGTTCACACAATCTCCTAAGAATAAAGAAATATGAGCTGAGACTTTAGAGATAGTTGTGGGGATGGATAGGGGGTACTGAAGGGGGAGACATTGCACCCACATCTCCTGTGTTCCTTATCAGATTACATATGCCAAAGGTGTTGTGCACCTTCTAGCATTGCTCACTTAGACCTAATTGTCAAATTATTAGGCACTCACATCACTTGTAGGAATTCTATTACTTCATACTTAATAAACTTTATCTCCTAAATTATACGATCACTTTCACTGAGTAATTATTCTAGGTTTTTTAGTACCAATATTTATTTGTGTATGCTTATAGGAATATGCCAATTTATATTTAAAACCCAATAAATGATGTTGCTTCAATAACAATTTATTTCCTAACACTAAAACATCCATTCTACATCTATGCTAATGCTAGATATTTGTTGAGTAGCAAATTATTTTTTTAATGCACAAATTCAATGATGATTTAAAAGGAAAAATTTTACAAGTGTGATCAGGTACTATCATAAGGATAAAACTAATATATGTGGTAATTATTCTGTAATGAAAGTCACTTCTCAAGAGAAGAAAACGTCATAAGACTCCTATATGTGAAAATGAAATTTTAAAAAATACAGCAACACCACCACCTAAGCAGATTTGACTTATAGTGCTTACAGTGCCTGGATTCTGGAGGGGAATCCCCACAGTTTCTGAACAATGATAAACTACATTGTACTAATCCATTTGCCACAGGACTCAGCATTTAAAGTAGCAGTGTTACTCAACCTCCTAACTCCAAGTTGCCATCACACTCAAAACTCCCCTCTGCAACTGGGCAGAAGATTGTTTTGACTGAAATTAGTCAGACAGAAGAACCATACAGCCAACTGCTTCTTTGTACAGCACCTGCTGCCAGCGCCTATATTCTTGTTATCTCCACAACATGGTTTAATCTTTTAACAGTTGGCTTATTGGTGAAGAGTGAAGGGGTCCTTTGTCTCTGCCTTGGGCTGGCACCCAGTATTAACACCATGCTGTTCTTCAAGAGATATTTTGCTGGACAGTTCCCAAGTGATTCTACATAGAACAGACACAGCAAGGCCCACTAACCCAGCTTTATATTGTGTTATTAAAAAAAAAAAAAATCCTGCCAAGTCTGGAGTTCTGATACGTTTAAAACTGACAATGGCCATTACATTTTTCTTCTGTGACTTCACTTTTTAAATTAATTTGATAGCTTAGCTTTAGACCAAACGAGGGTGGGAAGTTAAGGACTATGAAAGTTGGGATTTAAGAAAAAAAAGTGCTCTGACAATCCACAACATAATATGCCATATGTATGTATGTGTGTGTGTGTGTGTGTGCGCGCGCCCGTGTACACACATGCATGCGCATATGTGTTTAAGAACATTTAGATTGAGACTGGTGTCTAAATGCATACTATCATATATGTCATTAAAAACATTTTTAAGTCTTACTGAGAATCAAAACAATTCTCTTTTATTCTTTTAAACACTTACACATATAGGTCCTTTATGTGACCATTATAATTTTGTTTTCTGAATAAACTGTGCTGATGTAGAAGCAGTCAATGATAAAGCAATGCATACACATGCTGGGCCAGTTAAAACTTGTTTAATTATTTTTCCCAAATAGCTAATGAAGGTGGAGTAGCCTTCAATATTCTTGTGCAAATTCAAAATAAGAAAAGAACCACTTATGATCTTCTCTTGCACATTTACTAAGAAACAGAACACGAGACAATGAAATGTTTCTTGAAAGAAGTTCATAGAGCACAACCCTCATTTGAACAAATTGTTTATTCTATTGCAAAGAAATTTTACATGATGTTCATTTTTGATAATGCATTTAGGGTCAATTTGAATAATTTTACACATAAGTAAAAATCACAGCTAATTAAAGAAAATGTTATACAATCTCTTTCCTCATGTAATTTCTGTTCTCTCTTATTGTTTCTATGCTCTAACTTTATAGCTGACCAGTCCACCTACTTCTAAGGCCAAGAAATGGAAAGAGTTGAGAGTAGAAAATATCAGCAAGGCAAAATTATGCAGTCAAACACGGCAAAATATCTAAGATCTAACTGGTCTGAATATAAGAGAAGGACTTGGGCTTTTAAGTCAAGTCCCGTGTCCTATGCTAATGGCAATCCGTTCAAAATTTTAACTAGCATTTTGTATTTGCTTCAGTATATACATAATTTATACAAAATATCATTTTTCAATGACTTGCTCTCCAAAGAAATAGAACAGCAAAGAGTTGTTTGTCGTTTCCCAGCCTCCTTTATGACAAAAAGAATAATGCCAGAATAATACAGTACTTCAGTAATTATGAATGCATTCTACTAGCATCCATAACTACTGAATTTACAAGCTAAATTGTAACAAGTATACCATAATTCCAAAATTATAATTTGATGTTTTTCTTGCCGTTTCCATCATACAGAAAGTTGTCACTAATGTCCTGCTGATGTCTGTGAAGCCATGTACTGAAAGGCTAGAATTAAAATAAGTTTCCTTTTGAGTCTGGCAGAATATATGACCTGCCAAACACTGGAGTCCATTTTTCTGCTATATTTTCCCATAACCAGGCATTCCTAAAGCTATTCTCCTCATGAAATATCTCATTTGATATTAACTACCATGAAGTTTAAATCTCACCCATTTCATGGAAACATCTAGTTTGATTGCCCTTAAACTGAGTCAATCTAAAAATGTTGCCAATTTAAGTAACAATAGAGAGATGTTGAAAAATGTATTCACCAAATTGTCAATGTGTAGTAGATTCCAAATCTGTTTTTGAAATGGATAAGAGAGCAACAGGTTGTAATTGTCAGGGTTATATCTGACTCCCACATTACAAATGGGGATTATATGTTCCAAATTTTTCTCTGTAGGAAAGGTTCTACTTGTCAATAGGAAATTTAAAAGAACAGTCAGGGGCTAGGCACTGATATCTCTATCTCAAGCCAATTTTAAAACATATGCATCAAGAATATCGGCTTTTGCCTCCCTTCTCTCAACCCCTGTTGTAATCCTCTTAGTGTGTTCTCTACCCCAATGAGCAGCAAGATTCTACAATAAAATGCCCTATAGATATCCATCACCTCTGCCTGAATCCATCTTTAAAAGTGCTCCTTTTCAGGTTATTAAATTACTATTCCCAATGCACTGATCACCACTCTGTAAATAATTGGAGACATTTTTCTGAAAGGATTTTAAAGGCTTCACAGCTATGGAAGAGCTGTTTGTCTTTGAAAGCTTCTCTTTACTAGCCAGTTTATCAAATTTTTGCTTTCTTACAGTACTATTTTTGTTGAACTAAAATTTTTAAAAACTAAAAATGCCATAGCATATAACCATTTACTTATGATGAGTGTTTTCTCATTTTCACTAAATCATTAGAACCATTTAATAATGATAAAATAACTGTGGACTGTTATTCTCTCATTTTTCAACATTTTAGAAAATAGATTTATCTTGTTATAGTTAACCCACTTTGACATAAAAGCAAAGAGAAAAGCCTCCTTTGAGGTCCTTTTCTCTGATATCTCTTTGCTATCCAATTGTTTTTAGGTTTGAGTTGGTCTCTGTTGAATTACTTAATCGACTATTAAATTCAATTCAGGTCAGCTAACTGAATATCTAGATATTGCATCAGAGACAGGGATGATCAGGATGTCCTTTGCCTTTGAGAAATTTCCAATCTAGCAGGGAGGATAAGACAAGGACCTCCTGAGTTATCTTCCTAATATGAAGATCAGATTACATCTTGCCTCTGTTCAAATATTTTCAATGGCTCCTTGCTTTCTACAGAAAAACCAGAATTCCCTAATATTGAATTAAGACCCTTCATGATCTGATCCTAACATCCCCAATAGAGCCTACCATTCTCCCCCATCTACGCTGATGTAGCCTGAAATATGCTCAAACTTGGAGCCTAGTTGATTTTGAGCCATGCAAGAAGTTGTAAGAGGAACAGCATCTAGTTCAATGTCATTGTAAATGGCGCAGAAGGGAAACGTCATATCTGGTTTGGAAATGGGGTTGGGGTACAGAAGGGTTTCATGAAGCAGTCACAAATCAGATAGGGCTACAATGATGGGCAGGGTTTTTTTGTTTGTTTGTTTGTTGTTTTTTTTTTTTTTTTGAGACAGAGTCTCGCTCGGTTGCCAGGCTGGAGTGCAGTGGCGCAATCTCGGCTCACTACAACCTCTGCTTCCCGGGTTCAAGCAATTCTCCTGCCTCAGCCTCCCAAGTAGCTGGGACCACAGGCATGCACCACCACACCCAGCTAATTTTTGTATTTTCAGTAGAGACGGGGTTTCACCATGTTGGCCAGGATGGTCTCAATCTCCTGACCTCCTGATCCGCCTGCCTTGGCCTCCCAAAGTTCTTGGATTACAGGCGTGAGCCACTGCACCCAGCTGATGGGCAGGATTTTAATAGCCTTTATTGAACATGCCAAACCCTGTGCTAGGATATGGCACAAGGGTGACAGAGAAGGCTGGGTGTGGTGACAAAGAAAGGTGGAATTCTAGTCAAAGAGGTCCACATGGGCATAACAACAGAAATCATGGAGTGCTTTCAGAAAAAAAACAAATAACAATCTGGCTTGGCTAACAGACAAAGACCATATTAGAGAATATTCAGCCTTGAAAGCTAGGTTATGGCTAAACAAGCAAACAAAAAAATCCATTCATCAAATATGTATTGTGCATTTGCCCTACATTCAAGACTTTGCATTAGTGCTTAGGAACACAAAGATGAGTAAGACAATGCCTGTGCCCAAAGAATCCTCAGTTTAGTGAAGGAAAAACACAAAAGCAAATACCTATACCAAAACACAAACTCAACAACAATTTTCAAAGGAAGATAATGAGTCCTGAGAATACAAAATAAAGATTAATTCTTTCTGGAGTATCTGAGAAGGCTTTATGGAAGAGTAAGTTGAGTAAAGCCTTAAGAAGCAAGTAATGGTAATGGCTGGGGGTATATCCCAGGCAAAGAACAATACAAGCCATGGCACAAGTATACGAAAGTGGAAAGCATGTTCTGGTGCACAATTGATTAGCCTGACTGTAATGTACAGTATACAGAGCAAGAGGAGAAAATTGGAAAGGTAAGTTGAGAGCGGAGGTAGATTAGAGGAGAATCATGGGGATCAATGAAGTCCAGACGAAAATTCGGAACTTCAAATGGCAACAGCCAGGCATACATGTGTTTTCAGCAGGAAAATAATGCTACAGCAAAAATCTAATGATGAATACCAACAGGATCAGATCTACAGTAAATAAATATTAATGTCAGATGAAGGCAAAATACAAAATACATTAATAAGTACATCATTCTAGTTACTTTAATCTTCTATATTTTCTCAAAACCCGGCAGAAGTAGAAATATTTGATTCTATTTTTATAAGTACACTATTTAGATCCATATGCTCCTTGAAATAATCAATATTTTCAGTTTAAATTTTGACATAATTGAGAAACTGAATGGGGAGCATAAAGAAATTTAAAAAGGCAGGTTGGGGCAATGTGTCTCTTGCATTGACTCTTGGAAATACAGGGCCCAATTGATAGGAAGTCCTACTTTCTTTGGACTGCTCTGTCTCTGTGAGTGACTTTTGATTTTGATTTCATGTGTTCAAAAATTAAAGCTTACACTGCTAAAATGAGCAACAACCGTACACAGCACTTGCCAGCTAAGAAAAACAAAATAAGTATTCCTTCTTTGGAGATAGATTTAAAACGCCTTTCATAATTGAGCTGGAGGGAAAAAAAAAAACATCTTCTTTACTGGAAGGATAAATTTCTAAGTGTAAATTGATATGGACCTTCAGGATTGGGTTGCCATGAGTTAGGTTTCCTAAAGAACTTGTGTTCCTTAGATGCATTGACCTGTAGAGCAAATAGATCAGATCCTAAACTATAGAGATAGCAGCCATCTTAAAGACTTCCTTAAATAACTCCAACTTATTATTATAGCTATTAACAGTACAAAGAAAATATGTCAAACAATACAGCTTAAATAACATAAATCAGGTATAAGTTTTTCAAGTAGGAATTAAATATATTGTTTTCCGTTTTGAAGTGCCTGGTTAATTAACAGGAAGTAAAGAATAACACCTGCCCCAATATTTGTAAAAATAATTTATAGTTTAAAAAACTGTAATATAATTTATAGTTTAAAAAAACTGTCACAGTCCAGGCGCAGTGGCTCACGCCTGTAATCACAGCAATTTGGGAGGCCGAGGTGGACGGATCACTTGAAGTCAGGAATTCGAGACCAGCCTGGCCAACATGGCAAAACCCCATCTCTACGAAAAGTACAAAAATTAGCCAGGCATGGTGGCGCGTGCCTGTAGACCCAGCTACCTGAAAGGCTGAGGCGGGAGAATCGCTTGAACCCAGGAGGTAGAGGCTGCAGTGAGCCGAGATGGCACCACTGCATTCCACCCTGGGTGACAGAGCAAGACTCCATCTCAGAAAAAAAAAAAAAAAACTGTCACAAATATTCATTATATATTGGTTGAGTGTCCAATACATAAAGTGCACCTTTTAAAGTACAATAACTAAAATCCCACCTTGTTCTGTAGAAAATGGTTCTCCAAGTCCACCTTTTCAAACTGGTCAGGTATCTGTTGACTGGTACAGTTGAAATTAATTGGAAATCCCTCACAAACTTCCCAACTAAGAAAAGTAAAATACGTAATTATTTTTATTAGAATAATATGCATTTAATTACAATGCCCTTTACTCTTTAATTATAATACTCTTTATGCTTTATGTATACTCCATTACTAATAATTTATATATCAAATCTTGCCTGGAAAGTACCAGCAGTCATTGGGGAATAAAGCTGTTATTTAAACAACTATCAATGAGTATGTCCCTCTAGACATATTTAGCAATAGGTTGTCACTGGCTGGACTGAGTGATCTCATCAGACTGCTTTTGGTTCTCTGTATTTGCCTTCTACTTCAGCATTTTCAACTGTTTATTAAAAAGAGCTACAATTTGTTAAATTATAAGGTTGTTATAGCTAGGTGGGAACTTATAGATAGATTACCTAATCCAAAATAGTATCAGGATCTGCTGCAGTGTCCAATATGGTAGTCACTAGCTACCTATTCCTATTTAAATTTAAATTAATTTACTTGAACAAAATTTAAAATTCAGTTTTGCATTCACACTAGTCACATTTCAAATGCTCAGTAGTCACAAAGTGTGTGTCCATCATCACAGAAAGTTTTATTGGACGGCACTAAATAGTGATTAAGCACTCAGGTACTTAAGACAAATGATCTGGGTTAGAATCCTGGCTCTACCATGTACCAGCTGTGTGACTTTGGACAAATTACTTCTCTCTTTGTGCCTTGGTTTCTGTCTCTGAGAAATGGAGTAAGAGTAGAGTAATATGGAATAATAGGAGTAACGTAATTGTTGTGAGAATTAAATCGATCCTTACCCAGTTAATTTGTAACTGTGCCTGGCCTATGGTCAACACTCAGTAAAAGCCAGTTTGTATTATTTGCAGATAAGAAACCAACACCAATCTGCTCCTGGACAATCACGAGCAGAGACGAAGCAAAATGCCTCCTTAGATCTTCCAACTCCTACTCTTCACTGCCCCAACGAGTCCCCAGAACATTGCTTTTGTTTTAAATGTATCATCATCAGATAAGAAGTTTAAATGTGAACACTCACACAGAACATATTTTATATTTTAATGATTCCATTATAAATGATTAATTTAGAAATAACCACTAAAAACAGCTTTTATGTTTCAAACCAAATTGTTGTTTCTGCAAAGCAGAAACTATACTTCGCTCATGGCCCCATATGGTTTTCTAAAACTAAGGAAAGTTAACAAGTCTTTTAGGCACTACCTCATTATACCATTAAATAAGTCAATAAAAGAAACAATTGCTTATTTAAGACAACTGAAAGAGCATCTTTTAGTGTTTCGAATCTCTTACTCTGAAAAATCCTGAATTAAGTGATTTGGATTACTTTAACCACATCTTTAACAAGATTACTTGTTAATTTACTTGCCACATCCAGGTAGCAGAACAGCATTAGGATCCAAAAAGGTCTTATATGCAACCATGATATCACCTCTGGCAAATGCACTCACTCGGTCAAAGGTCAAACCCAAAGCAAGATTTAGTGGAGATCTGAAAAACGGATAAAACATCAAAACTATCTTCAAAATTAGACATACATTGTAATTTGAGCACAAATAAACAATAAAATACACATTATCATTGTCTAATAAAATTCAGAAATAAGTGAGTTTCCTATTGTATAGCACTATTGCTGGTATTCTATATTAACACCTGAAATATATACTTCAGTTTATTTAGCTGATCTATAATATGCCAAAATAGTTTCAACATATGTAATTTAAAAAATAATAATTGCAATAATTAAAGCCAAGTATTTAGTTGAGAAAAACAATCGTCATTCACATAATGTTCATTTTCCATGTATAACAGTAATCCAATACATCTATAGTAATCTTGGGAGCTGATAATTAAATGAATTCTTAATATTTGGCCACGAACAACTATTTCTGTGAGCTCACTAAATGCCATGCTGATTTGATTTTCATATTACATATTGTTAGGCACACTGTTTTAAGTGAATTTGGAAATTAAAATCAAAAACAGATTTTAAATGAAAACAATGGCCACTATTGTACACTATGAGCCATTTTTCTCTAAATTGCTTAAGACTCGCTATTTATCTCTAGAATTAAAAATCAACGACATCACCTCTGCAGTCTTGTTGCCAAAAATATTTAAACTGAATCTAATCATGAGAAAACACTCAGACAAACCCAGAATGTGGGACATTCTACAAGAAAAATGCCTGGACTCTTGAAAAATAAATTAATGTCATGAAAAACAAAACAAAAGATTAAAAGAATATTCTAGATTAAAGACAACTAAAGAAAATAACTAATATAATACAAGGAAGTATATTTGGATACTGGATTACAAAAAGCTCTAAAGCATATTTTGGTTAGCTTGAATATAGAGTGTATATTAGAGGATATTACATTACTGTTGACTGTGTTAGATATTATAATGTGGTGACACATAACTCTTCTTCAGTTATGTGACCTGAAGCATTTAGGAGTGAAATTTTAATGTCTGGAATTGCTTTCAAGCCGTTCAAGAGGGAGAGAGAGATGGGAGATATATAACAGGTAAAACAAATGTGGCAAACTCTTTAAATTGGTGAATCTAGGTGAAAGATATACAGGAGCTCATTGTACTATTTTTTCAAATTTCCTTAGATTTAAATTTTTTCAAAATAAAAAATTGAAGGAAAAATAAAATATTCAAAATAGAAGCGGACATCGGCAAAAATCATCTTTTACAAATGAGTAGCTTGACCCCTTCAAATCAACATAAATTAGACTCAGTAGAATTACTTACTGAAAATGAAAACGATTTACTTAACACGTATTGCACATTTTCTCAACATATTTCAAACTAGACGGCAATAACTTTTTAGACATATACATTTTAAACATTCCTATGGTAGCAAAATGCTGTAATGGTTTCCTGGTGCTTTATGTTGGACTGGAAACCAAAAAAATACATTAAACTGTTAAAATCACAATGAAATACAAATAAATATATGCACTGGTAAATTTCTCCGACTACAATTCTCAGCTGATTTTTAGAATATCTCAGATTTTTGGCATTTTACCAGTTATTCCGCAAATATGATCCAATTAGCCAAAAACAAATGTTTAATATTATTAAAATGCTGTATTATAGCAAACATCATTAAACGTATCAAAATTAGTGAGTCATTACTTTCACTTTGACAATAATATTAAAAAGAAATAATAATGACACATTTTATTAAAGCCTATCCTTGTAATAGGAAGGGCTTACTAGATTACTCAAGAATTCTTGCCACTTTAAAATTCATCAGTTTTTATCATTGAAAAAACAATTCTACTTACAACGTAATTAAATTATATTTTGAAATTTATCTATGGACAAAAACTTACCATTCCTTAGAGATTTTTTAATTCTCTAAATTACACAGCCTAAGAAATCATCAAGCATTTTAATATTTCATCTGGGACAGATGAAATAAAATTTTGTAACATGTGATCCACAACTTATTCTAGCAACATCTTCCAAAACCTTGATGGATTTCTGAGTACATTTGTTTCAGTATTCGAAATTTTAACTATTTGAATATATAGCAAATCCAATAGCCCTTGCTTTGCTAAGATTTAGGTTTATTTATGCTATTTTCATTATAGTTAATATATGATCAGTTATACTCTATATGAAAAATTATTTTCCCTTATTCTGTTCTACAGATAATAAGCTAAAAAAATTAAAAATAGAGAAGTGTGTTTAAGTTTCCTGACAAGCAGTTTCAGAGTTCATCTGGATGTGTTCTGTCAAAATATGCATAAATTTCCTAGATATTGAAAACAACAGCCCAGCTCATCAGTGCCTATATACTGCAGCCTTTTTCTTTCTTCAGAAACACAGATAATTTTATGCAGGAATTTACCAATCTACAAAAATTTACACAATGCTCAGCAATAACCAGTAATTATTGTGGGATAATGTAAGGTGCTTTTGAGGAATATAACTTTGATAGGATAGGGCTTACAAGCTTTACCAATTTATCTTTAGCTGTCCTGTCATTGGTGCTTAAAAGGTTAAGACTTTATTTGTGAAAACATAGAGAGATAGTGGGGAATCATGTTGTCTACAGCTTCATAAATCTTGCTTAAGATCCTTTTCAATTACCATCCATTTCTCCTTTAAAAAGGGACAAAAAAAATAGAGGAGTGGAAGCAGGTCAGGGCAGTGTGCGACAATGACAGTGTGATGGGCTTGGGCCCCCCGTGGCGTTTCCATCTGCTATCATTAAGGTGACTACTCAGACATGAACAAATCCCTCTTGCTGTGCTGACAGGCAGACTTCAAGAACTATGACAAGGCATTAAGACAGAAAGTCACAGACAGAGATAGAGAGAGAGAAGGAGATGTCATATTCCACCAACAATACTGCCTTGCAAAAACACCTCTAAAATTTTATTGGAATTCAAAATAAAAAATGTTTCATGAAGGGTGCTACTTGACTTCTCAAATCCGCTTTCAAATTAGCTCTCCCCTGGAAAGATTGAGGACAGAAAACAAACCCCTTGCTCCTACCTGTATGCTCTACCATAAGAGACCCAAATTTTTTGCTCATTCTTCAGCGAAAGTGGATTCTTAATTTCTTGGCCATTCTCATCAAAAAGCCGCATTGAAGAATAATTGAGGCCTGGTGGGTTGATGGAAGAACCTTGAAGCCTTTGATGAATCTTGAGAAGTAACTGGTTGGGGGTTAGAGGGGCAGAGGGGATAGAGGAGAATAAATAACCTAAAATGGGAACATCTGTAATAAACTGTCTCTACTCTGTAACAAATGAAGTCCAAACAAATGATAATTAAATTCATATAGAATGTTAAAAGAAGTGTGAAATGACGGCAATGTTTAGCTCAGTGTAAAGTAACAAAATGAGCATGGGCTTTTAACCAGCAGGGGGGGCCACAGGCTTGTGATTGAGCTCTGACCCTTTGGCACGGGGACTGAAAGCAGATGTGACAGTCTTACAGAAAGAGCATTTAGCTTCTACACATGGTAACGGTCCTCTTTGATAAGGGTTACGCTTTTCTTGTCTGAGCTACACATTTTGTTAGGGGCCTTCCAGACCACGTTCAAGTTTCACAATCACCAATCTCCCTGTCCCCAGCAAATCTCAGGTAACCAGTAGTAGGACAACTGCCAAAATTAAAATGACTTTTAGCCTAAGTTGGTTCACTTACAAAGATCTCTCCCTAGAAGCATTTTAATTATGAACCCTGAAATAGCTTGTGGACATCTTCAATAATGAATGTTTTTAAGTTGTAAGAAAGACATCATGGAAGTGTGAAGTATGAAAAGCTGTCATTTAATATTTAAGATAATAGCATTATCAGTGTTTGCTTCTATCTTGCATTTAGAGTCTCTAAATTATCAAGATATTTCTAATTTAGGGCATATTTCAAATATAAAGTAAATCTAACAGAACTGTGCTGCATATGGTATTTGAAAAGACATTTTTCATTATCCTCTGTCACCTTTGTTTAAGTGTTTCAGCCTTTGCTCTTCCTTGCTCTGCACTCCACCCTATCCATCACTCTTCCCCCAGCCTTCTGTCACGGGGTTCCTTTTCATCTCTCCCTTGTCAGTTCTTGTGTCTCTCGGTTTCTTGTTATCCTGTAATCCCTGCAGGGATGTAGATATAGCTGTGGTCTTTTCTGGCCTAACTGCAGTTCAGGGTCCTTTCTTTTCTTTTCTTTTTTGCTCCTCTATTAATCCCCATTGAGGGTATATTGAGAAGTGCTAAATGCTGAGGCTTAGAGGAAAGAAGGGAAAGTCACAGGTCTTCCATGCATCTCAGGTGTCTCACGATTGGCTGTAAACTCTTGACTGAGCAAATATTTCTTTTGACCAGAAACTGCATGTATAGGATCTAAGTATTAGGCTTTGTCCTACTTAGAGATACGTAATAGTATCTCCAACTTAGTGTTTTCATTAGCTGAAGATTTTTAGTCTTGAGCATTGGAAAGGCATTAATACTTCCCATCCAGCATAGCCAATTCCTTTGAATTAAAAATGATCATTACTCTCCTCTTTAGGTGTATAAGAGGCAAAGGTGTTAGAATAGTAAAAATCTATATTGCCTTGGTTATTTTTCCATGGAAATGGCAAACATATTTTGAAATCTATAGATTGTATTTCTAAAGCCCTACATTTATTTTTGTGTGGTTTCAGCTCTTGAGCTTATTTTTGTTGCTTTGCTATTATTTCAGAAAACATGTTATGCTGATCATTTTTTAAATCACAGAGATTTTGCTTTACAGGCATCACCTTTTTATAAAAAGGAATGATACCAAAGATTTAAGGCCTGATCCAGGAAGGAAATGTGTGTACAAAGAAGAGGGATGCGAGGTAGACATGTGATGTGAGCATCTGACCACTTAACCAAATTCACTTTCACAGGAGTTGCATTGCAATCTCTATTTTCTCAAGTTGGTGACAGACTGCATTTTAGGTGTTCAAAGATGAGCATTCAACAGTCTTCAGGAGGTAAGGGCCTCTGTGCCCTTCATCTTTAGGTCATTGGTTAGGGCTTTGCTGTGGCAACCAAAAATTGTGATAATCTTCACCCATTTATCTTTAAAGCTATCATCACCAGGCCTTTATAGCATAAGAATTTGTTCAAGAACCTGAAAAGAGTGTGAAACATCTTAGGCTAGTGATTGAAACACGTGTCCACACAAGGGAGCAGTTGTCCTTGGGTGGTGTCACAAGGGCTCTCCCAAAGAACTTTATAATGCCCCTAATTAATGTTTTTGCCCCAGATTTATTGCATACAGAAGCACAGCACAGCTCAATTTCAGTGTGCTATAAGTCAACACAAAAAGTTTCTATAGAATAATATCTTCATTTTTTTTTTTTTTTTTGAGACAGGGTCTCACTCTGTCACCCAGGCTGGAGTGCAGTGGTGTGATCTCAGCTAAATGCAACCTCAGCATCCCAGGCTCAAGTGATCCCCCCACCTCAGCCCCCGAGTAACTGGGACTACAGGCACATGCCACCATGCCAGGCTAATTTTTTTTATTTTTTGTAGAGACAGGATTTTGCCATGTTGCTCAGGCTGGTAAAATATTCTAATGTAAAAAGCCGGGGAGACAGGTGAAAAATCCTATGAAGGCCTTTGTGTCATGGTGATTTGTGTAATCAGTTATGTTATGGTAAAAAGAAACCAGCCAAGGCTCTGGATCCTTCTCTCTCTAATCAAAGTAGCTTTTCTTCCTCTCTTCCAGGTCCAGCTAATGATCCAATGAGAGCATCCCAATTCATATACAACTTTTTCGATTGGCTGTAAAAGCCAGGTAATGGATACCACCAGGAGAGGTAAGTCTGAGGGTGCTGAACTGAAGGGAGAAAAAGGGAGCAAGTTACTGAACAAAGGCAAGGCAAGAGAGCCCAAAACACTGCTGTGCGCTCGGGTGCATAACCCCAATTTGTAAACAACAGGCTGTTCAGTGTCCTTTTATGCAAGACAAAGACCCAAAATAAAGAGCCTGAGCATGTTGGTTCTGCCTGAGAAACATCCCAATTGTCTGGAAAACAGAAAAAGGTAAGAGTGCCTAAGATGTAAGCAAAACTAGCTGAACTTGCTCACAATGAGCAGGGAGAAGACCAAGGCTGCATGTTAATTACTCAGAATCTAGGGTTTAGAAATACCCTAGATCCAGGGCATACCCTCCACTGAATATATCACTTTTTTTTACTGTAAACAAGAGGGAAATCCTGATGTATCAAAACCAGGGCCAAGCATAGACAGATTCCAAATATAAGCATGAAGAAGGTTAAGAAACCATTAGGTATGGAGTTCAGGAGTTAACACTATACTAACGCTGAAAGCCTAAGAAATTCAGAAGTAAATCTTTGTGATATCAGTCTTTACAGATCAACAAACCATTGATCTTCTGCAAACAACTTTAAGATGTAATTGTCTAAATTAGTTGCAAGTAACTTGCAAGACACTTAAAGTCATAAGTAAACTGTCAGTAAACTCACTCTTTCCATCATATGGTCAGTTTGAATTGGGCTATCCGATCCCAAATCTTTTTTACTGATACCAACAGAGATCTCTCCAGTGTTTTTACCATTTTCAAATACCTGAAAAATAAACATATTCAAAAATAAAAATAAATACATGCACACATACATACATATATTCATACATACTTAGATAAATTTAGGCAGTCATCCTTTTTCATGGTACCATGTCAACTGAAAATTGTGTACATGGGAATTGTGCAAAGCAAGGACCGACTGTATAAACACATGTGAGTAAGTAATTGGCAATGGAATCAACAGCACTAAAAGAAAAGAAAGGCTCCTGCTTCTCCTTTTGGTTTCAGTGTCTAATTTGACTGGCATACCCTACAATCTTATAATAGAAGAAAATGTGGACATTAAAGGAGGAATCACTGACCACAGCGGATGCTTAAATGAAGCAAGTGTCAAAAAAAAAAAAAAGTCAATAGCAACCTAACTAGCTCATTTTGTTCTTCATAAAGCCACAAATAAGGTAAGGAATATTCATACTTTGGTTTATACTTAAATATATCAGCGTTCAGCTAATCTTTTGGCACACTAAAAGGAAATTTAACCTGACAGATTTATTGCATAACAGTGTGATGAAAGTCATCCATTTTAAGTGCACATATCCAAAAAGTTGTTGAGAACAGAGATAAAATTCATAACATTGCATTATGTAACACTCGCTGGGGAAAAAAAAAAATGCTAGCAAACATTCTGGTCAAAAGGATCTGAATAAACCAGTCCCGACAGGATGGCTTCACTAGAGTGAACACCACCCCTCCAACCACGCGGAGGATCCATGTGGGGTGTGCCATTCACCAGGCAAGAAAGGAAGCAGCTGAGAGAGGGGCCTGATGAATAATTTAAATCCCTGCTTTTTATTTTTTTTCTCAAAAGTTCTTTTCTTCCCTCTCTGATATGCCCATCACATCAGCAGAGCCATTTTATTTATTTCTAGTGCTATTTCCAGAGAAGATAATTTGGAAGAATATTTATTTAAAAATGAAAAAAAAAAACTACCTTTTTTATATTTTTTGAGAAAGTTTTTGAAATGTATTTAATTGTCTCAACCTGGTTTTAGAAATAATGTGTTTCAATAACACTTCCTCAGCCTTTAGTCATAAAAAAAGAAAAATAAAAAGAGTAGTAATGTCAAAAATTGCAGGTTTCATTCCAGTCAGTGACGTTCATTGAGCTACTGATAGTCCAGTCAAGAACCTACAGCTTTCAGCCTTGGTGCACTGAGGATTATTTTTAAGTAATAATCCTGAGTAAAGATACAATTCTGAGTAAAAAAAATCTCTCTACTTTTCCAAGGAAACTGGTAAACCCAACTTTTGCCTGCAAACCTATGGAAAATAATGTGGGAAAAGACTCTTACTGTCCCCATAATCTCTTCAGGGCTCAACTTTGGAACAAAACTCTTAAGCAACAGAGAAATTTAGCAGTGAAGGTCACAATTCTAGGTGGCATGTATTCTACAAGGTTAGTGTTGACAAAAGCTCAGTTTGGAGAACTTATTGATGTTCCTTTGTCGAGACTTGCTAGACATGGAGTCAGAGTGCAGCAAATTATATTCTAGAAAATAGCAGTGCCAAGTGCTAACTGCTAACCTGAGAAAGCAGAGACGTCTTGGTCAACACCTAATACCTTCATTAGCTCACTACTTTCTTCACTGCTGATAATAAGCCTTCCCTTCTACATCCAGAAAAGTGTTCTCAAAAATAAAAATAAAAATTGGCTGTGACCTCTGCAAATCCTACAAGGGCATAAAAAAAAGAGATATTTTAGTGGTTATATAAAAGTTTAGATGCTTAAGTGAAGGGAGGCTGCCCTCCACTAGTCATACATATAATGTGTTTTCACTGTGTGTCCAAAAACCTAAAAATTCTCCAAACTGAAATCTTAAGAGATTCTGTTTTTCTTAAAGCTCAGCTCTAGTTTTTAAGCTCTATATTAATATGCCTATTTTTAAAATGCAATATATATACCAAAATATATTTATTTACTTATTCCTCCTTTGCCTGAGGAATATTTTTATTTCCAATATCCAATGTTTAAACAAAGATAGCTTTCTAAAGAGAGAGTTTCTATGATTGACTTAGATACGGGAAAATTAAAAGTAGTCTACCTTTATTTTCTTCCTGCCCAATTCTTGGCTTAAGAAAAATCAGCTGCTGTATTGGCTTCCCAGTGGCTCTCTGCATGGCCTCACCTCCCTATAGCTCTAAAATTAAATTCTCACCCTTGGAGTGGGATGATGCAGAAAGCCAGCTGAGGCTAGCCTTGGGTCCTAAGGAATAAGGTCATAGAACCTAAAAAATCATGATGCAGATCCTGTTGAAAAACATAGTAGCTAACAACTACTGAAGAAACATGTAGAAATAGGAATAAGTTACTTCTATGCCCTTAGCAACACAAAGTACAGAGTTTCAAGAGAGTGTTTTTTATGCACCACAGTCTTTTTACTTTCCTTCATGTCAATATTGACTTTTCTTAAGCTAAACTAAATTAGATTAACACCGAAGTTTCATTGTAATGTCAATTTATTCACTCAACAAATATTTACTGAGTGCCTACTACGTGCCAAGCACTGTTCAGGAACTTAAAAAGCATCAGTGAACTAAGATTCCTGCTCTCAATGTGTTTACCCTGTGCTGGACTAGAGGGAGGGGCCGACAATAAGCAATAAGCAGAACACAACAAATGAGTAAATCATATAGCATATTCAGGGTACACCTGGATCTTGTGAGACCTGAAGTTTGTATAATTTAGTGGGTCTTCTTTAACAAAAACAATGCAAAACTACAATGCAAAACTAGTTATGAAATACTCAGAATAAGAAAACAACTTACACAGATTAAAAAAGCTGACACGTAGCAAAAACATTAAAAATTCAGGAAAAGTCACAAAATATTTTCATTAACTATCCAAAGCACATTTTTTACTGCATTGTGTTTGATCACCTCTTCATATAGTAATTCTGTAACATTTTCTTTTTTGTTTGTTTGTTTTTTTATTTTAAGTTCTAGGGTACATGTGCACAACGTGCATGTTTGTTACATATGTATACATGTGCCATGTTGGTGTGCTGCACCCATTAACTAGTCATTTACATTAGGTATATCTCTTAATGCTATACCTCCCCCCTCCCCCCACCCAACGACAGGCCCCAGTGTGTGCTGTTCCCCTTCCTGTGTCCATGTGTTCTCCTTGTTCAATTCCCACCTATGAGTGAGAACACGTGGTGTTTGGTTTTTTGTCCTTGCAATAGTTTGCTCAGAATGATGGTTTCCAGCTTCATCCATGTCCCTACAAAGGCCATGAACTCATCCTTTTTTATGGCTGCATAGTATTCCATGGTGTATATGTACCACATTTTCTTAATCCAGTCTATCATTGATGGACATTTGGGCAGGGCATAACCCCATCGTCTGTAACATCTTCTATAGAGATAATCGAAAGATAATCTGGCCTTATCTCTAGCATGGTTAATAAAAAAAAATTATTCTTGATTAGAAGTTTCTTTTGGCAACACAATTTCATTGGTCATTTCATTAAAAGTTTTAGGATTGATGCCACATTTTGGAAAACCTCAATCAGATTTCTTTAAAATATGAGCTGTAAAATGTGGAAAAATATTCTACCAATTAATTGGCTCTGTTAATTTCACACCATGTTTCTCTTCCACCACCCACCCACATACTTTTGGTGCCAGGCACTCTAGTGCACCAATCAGAAAACAGTACACGATAAGGTCAACAGGCAGTAGCTATCTTCCTGGAAGCTCTTTCCATACCAAAATGGCTAGTACTAACTGAGCTATATAGAGAAGTGACTGCAAAACACTAACTAGATTCCACTACACCCAACTCAATGTATCCCTAATTCAATTTCTCCTTAGCCATACCTCAAAAATGTGTGCAATCATTTCAAAATCACGTGGTATAAGAAAGGGTATGAAAGAGAAGAAATTGAAGTGGAAAGAGACAATAGGGTTAACCAATTATAGTTAAAATACATTACATTTGCAAATTTTACAGGCATTATGCAGGGAAGGGGCCCTAAAGCTTAAGTTTCATTAGCGTCATGGTAAATGCACCCTGTGTAGGTTAGAAGGTGGTGCTATGTAAAGGAGAAAAAATACATCAGGGCAGGGGATACAGGCCTGGAATCAAGGAGTGTGATGGATGTGCTGGTCATCATATGAAATGGGTGATCTGGATAAGCTTCAAAGAGGGAAAACAATTGAGCAAAGATTTAGAGGTAAAAGAGTTAGCCCAACAGACAACAGGGAGAAGAGTACTACACGCAGAGAGAGCTGCCAGAGCAATGAAGCAAGACAGGAATGTGTCCAGTATGTTCCAGGAACTGTAAGGAAGCTACTGTGACTGGAGCAGAGTGATGCAGAGAGAAAGTAAATAAGAAATCAGAGAGGTAAGGGGTAGAGAATGAAATGGGGAATCACTGCCGGGTTTGGAATACTGTGGTAAAAGGATCTGACTTATTAACACATTTTTTAAAAGGATCATTATGGCTGCTGCCTTGGAGTAGACTGTAGGAGGCAAAGGCAATCCGAAGCCAGGGTTAACAGTGGCTCAAACAAGAGTATTAACAATTGACATGCTGAGAAATGGGCAGTTTCTGTTGTTCTGTCAGAGTTATGCTATTTGCTTCTTTGTTTATTAGCAGGACTGGAAAATAAAATTTGTAGGTAGGTTAATATTTCAGAAACATTATGTTTGCATTTATGGATGTAAATAAATCAATGTAAATATAACTGTTCACAGAGAGTATTTGTGAAGGCATAAAAATGTCAACGAAGTACTAAAAACATTTTATTGACTGTGAAGATTTTAGAGGCAGTGACTTAAACTATATAGGGAAACTTAAACTATATAGGGAAAGCTGCCCTGAATGGGCAGTTATGAGCCAATGTAGTTCTTTGATGAGCTTGCCTGTAATCACTTATGACATCTATTTAAGGACTTGTGCAAGGCCTAGTTCAGTACTATTATCTAGCCTTTAATGCTAGAGGTCTGGTTAAGAACTAGCTGTGGGGGAACAGCAGGTTCCCAAACTCTCCATAACCACTGGGCAGACCACCCAGGAAGCTCTTCTGTGCGTGAGCAGAAGGCCAAACACCTAAGCTTCAAAATGTCTCAGGATGCAATGCTGTCAAGAGGCAATAATAGAAAAATGACACCGCAGTGTGTTGCCAAAGTTGGTTGGGTGTACTGTAACAGGATTTATTACTAGAGGTCTGGTGAAGGAAAGGAATATAAAATAGCCACACAAAACTATCTGGCATATTTCAGGTGAACATAATTAAACACATAATGAACATACAAGGTTAACTTACATGTTGTCTTGGATTGGGGACCACTGAAACTGACCCTGAGACCAAGATTTGCCTGCAGGAAGTTTACTGGGAACTCTCTGAGGACCAATGTTGGTGAGGGAATGAGCAAAACAATGGGCAGATGGGCAAAGCAAGTGCCTCTGGTGGGAGCTCTAGAACTGGGAAGGTACTTAAGGTTGTTCAGAATTAAGAAAAGGGAGACATGCCTTTGCATCTGTGTACCAACCAAATGTTGGATGCAGGCTGCCCCGAGGGTGGGAGCCTAATCTTGGGAGAAGCAGCTCCTTTACACTGAGGGCAATTATCTAAGAAGGATATAGCTGTGGCAGTGGGGGGGGGGGGGATGGGTATCTCAGTCCTGAGAGGGAATCTGGGCAGTGTGGCACAGCATCCACTCCACACACACATGATAGGTCAGAGTGCAGGACACACTGTCACCTACATGAACTCAATACTCAAAACAACTGGATTTTACAGGTGACTCTCAGAAAGACTGAGTGACTTCACCAAGGCACATCTACTCATAAGGGGCAGGGAAATCTTTAGAAATCAAGTCCAATGACATTTTTAACTATAGATATCAAAATTTACCTTATATCTAATATTAGAAGCTCTAATATATGAAAATTGAAATGAAAAATTTTAAAGGCATAGAAAAATATTATATAGTTGAGTTTTTACCTAAATCAAATAACACAAAAATTAAAGTGAAATATTTTTCTTATGTAAGAAGCTAATTAGCCATGAAAAAAAAAATTTATCCAACCAGAATTCAAAGTCACTTTCAAATACAGAAAATCACTTCTAACTCAATTAACATTATATGTACACTAAATAAAATACATGTACTACTTTTTCCTTTTTTATAGACTTGAAGGATGGTTTTTAGAATATCCATATTTTTGACATTTTCTCAAATATATGATATAGTATAAATCAAACAGTAAACTTGTCTAATTTTAATATTCAAAGTGATAATGACAAACCAAATATTAAAATTATGGGATTCTGGCAACAAAAATTTAATTAAAAATTCATATATTTATGCTATATACTATATAAGAAAAAGTGTTTTAATGCCTAATACATATGTCTTTAAATATTATTTAACAAGTAAGGAGCCACTAAATTTTGTCCCAGGAAATGAAAATGCACTTAAGTGAAAACAAATTACATAATTCTTAAACTTCATCAATCTAAATGGTAACTGGACCAACAATCAATTTTTTTTTAAGCCCAGAAAAGGCATACCAAAGAAGATAACTTTTTGGAAGGAGATACTTTAAAATTCCATTGTAAGATATAGCAGAGCTCACCATTTCGAAGTATGTAAAGTAGGTGGCTGCCTATAGGGTAGGATTTTAGAAGGGAGCCCAAAGACTCTAACCTCAAAATATCTCTCCCACCAACTTGCCAATACTTGAAATTTCAGTTAGAGATTCACTCCTTTGTCACAATTAAAATGCCACAGCTGCATGAGGGGAAATTATATTCAGCCTCATTGGTTATTGATCCTCTAAGGCTGTGATTTTCAATCGCAGCTTTCTGGTACCCCTCAGAGGCCTAGGGTAGGCTGGGATTAGGGGGTTGGGCAACAGTGGTTTCACACGGGGAATCAGATCTGATGAGTGACTATGTGGAAGCAGCCACTATCCTGGCTTCAAACAGGGTAGATCCTACTTTTATCTATTTTACATAGTAGATTCCAAGAAAGAATTTTGATTTCAGGAAAAAAAAAAAAATTCTAAACTACTATCTTAGCTCAAAACAAAGAATGGCATGTCTCTTTCCTAAGAGCAAGTTTTGAGCAAAGGGTGGTAATAAGAGCCTGGGTTATCTGCCAGCCCTAATGGAGGGCTGGAGCAGAGGAAGGGCCAAAGGAGACTCCTGTAAAATGGCCCTCATCAGCTTCTCAGTGATCTTGGGAGTGGGCCCACATTCCTTCCTTGTAAGTATCTAAACTCACTTTCCATTGTTTTCTTATAGTATTTTTTTAAATAGTCTTACCCCATTTTGCTGTGACTATTGACAAAAAATAAGGCATATGTTTCTGCAAAAAAAAAACAAAAAATCAATTTGTATCCAATTGCAAATCTAAGTTCAATATATGAAAATGTTTAAAACTTTCCAGAAGACAGTGGCAAAGGAAATTTGCTTGCGTGTCATGTCCTAAGCCAAGTAATTTCAAAAAGCCCTTTATAAATGGAATATCTCAAGAAGAATTGCAACAAGGATTTCACTTTGTCTAAATTAACTTAATCCCTAAAATTATATTTAATCGGGATTAAAATATCAGGCATGTGGGTCCTGTCAGTAGCTGAGTATGATGTATTTTGTAAAAAGAGCTTGGTAAATAAAGGTTTTTGGAGTTTCCTGGCACCAATATATTTATTTTTATAGAAAGTCAGTGTTTTTTTGATGAGAAAAACATAGTCATGTGCCCCTCAAATTTTATTTTACTAGGAGAAATGAACATTGTAGGATTAAATATAAACTAAATCATCAAACTTTCCCCAAATTATCAGCCTTATAGATCATATTCTTACCCTTGGAAAGAGTGTATGCTTTTACTGCCATTCAGTTTCATTTCTTTATATCAAATATGCCTGTAAACATAATTTTCCCCTAAAGTGAATGAGTATCCTGAGAAACTAAAAGCTGTACAAAAGCTTACTATCTATAATAAAACATTTATATTTTAAGAAGTAATCCATTTTTTTCATCATAAAACACAATCAAAACTAGGTAGAATCTTAAGTAGGTGTAAATTCATCACCCCATTTTCACTTACGAGAAAATCTGCATTCATTTATGTTCAAATGAAGAATTTATGCTCGATAACGTTCATGGTGAGTCAGACTAACATAGATGTCAGTCGGTAATCCAGGGGACGGGAACATATGTAGGAAAGGAATCTCAGCAACTTGAACATATCAAACACTCCGTGAAAAAGCTAATTGAGAGGTAAAAACAAATTAACTGTTATGGAGAAGGACAATCTCACTGAGAGAGAGTGTGTGCCTGCAACAGTAAGGTTCAGTGGTTGCATTTAGTCCGAATAACTGCTGGGACAGTAATACAGCTCTGGCCTGTGGACTTTCCCCGCTGACTGCCCACCTGGCAATTCTCCGGGCACCTTCTAGGATGTCAGGCCTGCACAGGGAAAGCCTGTCTCATTATAACAGGCACTGCATGGGAGCTAATGCCCAGACCAATTGCTCTTCCCTGATTTTGATACAGACGCAGTTTTTCTCTTCAGCACATCTTGAAAAGGAAGATTGTATCTTCCTACGGAGATTTACACCTGACTGCAGATGCCTGTCAGAAAATAAGGTAGTATGAATATACTGGCATTTTCCCCCCAAAATCCACAAAGAGGAGGAGGAGTGGGGCAATGAGGACAGGAGGAAGAAAAGGTGGTGGCAAGATGGAAAAGAGCGCTGCAAAGAAGAGTCAAGAGATTTCAGCACCTGCCGCTAATTAGCTATCACATGAGATGTGTAAAGGCTTCGTAGGATCTGTTTCTTTACCTTTAAAATGGGCAGTCCAATATTTTCCTACTATCGTAAAACCTACATATGAAAATTGATCATCTTCATTACATTTTGCCCAACCTTTAGTGAATGTTCTCAAAATCACAATAACCTTGAATATTCCAATTTTGCTACTCTCACCACAATTCCTTTTCAAATGAACGCAAAGTTGGCATGTTTTACTAACTGTACCTAAGCCATATCCTAAATTTGTTTCCCATTGTTTACTCAAATAATTTAGGTGACATAACAGAGCATCCTAGGGGTTATAAATACATGTTTAGGAAAAGTGGTTAAATAAGAACGACACGGATCAAGGAATGTACAATGGAAATAACGTAATATGCACATAGAACAGTGAAAACACCAACCAAAAAAAATCTTGTCACACTTTCATGTGCAACTGACCTTAGTTATCATTTAATTGTTCCATAGATTCCTAAATATTAAAATAAGCTTTCTATTAATACAAATGAATGATTGGAAACTTTAAACTTTTTTAAAAATGACCACAAAATAGAAGGCAAATCTCAACTTCTTTCATGGTGCTTTTGTGCCATTCAAAGAATAAATTTAAGTATTCAATGCACAGGAAAGTCACATGTTTTCTGTTACCAACCAAATTAGCCCATTTTCAAAATGTAAAGAGGCCTGGGAACTTAAAATAATGGAATTGTAGTAAAAAGGTAAGAAGATGAACAGATTGGTTTTGCTAATCTGTTCATAGTGTTGTCATATTGTTTCTAATTGTATGAAAATAATCGTGGCCTTGGGTCAAAAAGGTGTTCTATGCTTCTCTGCATCTTCCCACAGTTCCTAGCACAATGTCTTCTGGACAAGGCTATTTGATAATATGTGGATTTACTGGACTATTCATTTAAAATCTTCTTCCTTTCTGTCATTGGCAGAATAAAAATTGTTAGATGCATACAACCTGGATGATGAACTAGATGCTGGATGAAGACATCCTTTAAAAAAGAAATCTCTGAATTATCCCTTTAACAAAGCTTAAATTTACTTACAATAGAAGAGAACACTATAACTAAACAATATAAAAATAGAAAGCCTAAAAATGTCTCCAAATCAGAGTGCTATGAATCTTGTTATTATCCAGGTTACTAAATTCCACCATATTTCTCTTGCTCATGGTCAGAGTGGATTTAAGTGAAGTTAATGAAGATTAGAGTCATTCTAGGTCCTAAGAGTTCTGGAAGTTGTCATAAAATACTTCTGTGTAAGTATTTCTGATGAGCTGCCTAAAAAAGACCCAGAAGAAAGAGCCTGAATTGCCAACACTCCATTGATTTGTTGCGATTTACTTTCTCATTCTAAATAAATATTCACTTTCAGACCTAATTTCAAAGAGAGCTCCCCACCCCAAGCTGGCTCCCAAATTTGACAAGCTCTAGGTCCCACAGAAAC